>NC_000021.9:43775961-43929857 GCF_000001405.40 Homo sapiens | reverse complement strand
CTCAGCCAGGCGGGAGCTGTCCCCAGGCCAGTGACACAGGCAGGACCTCAACAGAGAGGGTCAAGGCCCAGCACTCACGGGCCCCACAGCTCCTGCCCATCCTGCCCACCCTCCAGCCTGAGGAATGTGGGCCGCGTCTTCTCCCTCCATCCCAGTAAGGAGCAGCATCCACAGGCCAAGCCTCTGCAGGTGTCCCCTGTCCTGCCACACACACTGGCTCTGGCAGGCCGTGTCCGGTTCTGCAGGGACCAGGCCTTGCCCAGGACAGCGGCGACCGGGGGAGGTGGCTTTGCTGTGGCCAGCAGGCGGCACCGTCTTGTTCTGTGTGCCAATCCCACTTGCCCTTCACATCTTTCAATAAACAAATAAGGACACACATAAAAATAGAAGTCCCACCGTGGGAAGGCTCCTGGCTTTGACTCGCTCTGGGGTCAGCACGGGCCGTGGTGGCAGAGGCTCCAGGAGTGTGTGGTGATGGCAGGGAGCGGCTGACAGAGTGTCCTTCCAATCCACATGGGGACAGGGCGCGGGTTACTATGCAAACCAAACAAAGCACACAAGCCCGCATGCGGCCCAGAGCCAGGCCCGTCTCCTGTGCTCTGGAGCCTGTCGGAACCATCTTACGCTGTTGCTGCCGCCACACGGCTGTACATGCCCTGCTTCCATGAAAGGTGGGCACACAGAGCTCCCCACCCGCATGAGGCACCCACTACGGGAGCAGTGGCCTCCTTCTGAAGGTCACAGGGGACTGGCTATCGGGGCCCCGCCACTCAGGCACCTCACAGTGAAATAACGAGAACGCACGGAGTTTTCAAAATATGGTATGTCTGGCCAGGGTGGCACACTCTGCTTCCTGAATTGTGTGGCCTCCTAAAGTCAGTCACAGTCACGTGCAGACAAGGTGGGGGTGGTGGGTACACACAGCTGAGGAACCTGCCGGAGCCACCTAGGGTGGGGCCAAGGCACAAACTCCGTAGGGCAAAAAGAGGATTGGTGTGGGGATAAATTTCAGCTCATTGTGAAACAAAATTAGACAGCGCCTCATCTGTAGTATCCGTAGGTAGCCAAACACACGCAAACACACCCTCCTCAGTAAATCCGATGACGTCTCCAGTAGCGAGTGCCCCAGCTTGAAATGCATCCCAGAAGGAAAACTCCTACATGGAAAGTGATTTCTAAACAAGATGTAGTTTCAGACGTGAAATCTGTTGGAACAATTATCACGATTACTAAAATGCGCATGTATCAGCTTGCTCTGAGTAAAAACACTTAAAACCTAAGTCAAACCTTCAGACAGAGCAGTGAACTGCATGGATCACTGCAGCCTACGGGTCGGGAGAAGCAGAGGCCTCTGTCCCCAGGCGGGAGGCACTGAACCCTCCAGAGTGCTGCTGCCCACGCTGATCTGCAGAATGTCTTGGTGAACCTTACCCTATTTCACTCCCTCGGGGTGACGGGGTGGGGAAACAGAACTCGGCTGCCCCCCGGAATGACGGGGCTTGCCACCTTGCCTGTGTGTATATTCCTTAACGCTGTGTCAGCGTTTCTGAGCAGGCATTTTCAAAACAGTGGCCGTGTCGAACTCAGGGCAGGGGTACACCTGCAGGCCCCGGAGAAGAGGGCCCCTGTGGCTGGAGTTGAAACCATCATGCCCTTGGCCTGCCTGAAACCGTCGCTTCTTATTGTGCAGCGGAGACTTCCACGTCCAGCAAGGATCACAGCTTCCGGTGGGCCGAGTGGTTATTCCGTTTCTGCTGCGTCCGGGAGCTGCGTCCGGCTGGTTCAGCTTCCCAGGGCACGGGGCAGCAGGTGCCACGTCAGCCCTGCCAGGATGCAACAGGCCCAGCTCCTTGGAGAGGGAGGGTGTGTTCTCCTCCAACACCAACAGAAAGAGTTCCAGAATTTGGGGCAAGGCGTTCTAACTTGAATTGTGTGGCCTCCTATAGGCTGGGGTACCTGTCCCCAGGCACGTCGGTCGCCCTCACCAGGCCCCTCTGCAGGCCAGGCCTGACCTGGCAGCTCTGTGGCCCCACACATTTGCTCCTCATGGAAGCCCTTACACCTTACAGATGAGGAGACTGAGGCACAGAGAGGTTCAGCAGCTTGCCCAGAGCCACACAGCCAGTCAGTAGCAGAATCAGGACTCAAAACCCAGGCCATCTCACCACAAAGTCACTGCTCCCACAGATAGGAGCCAAGGATCAAAACCCAACCAAAGTGCTTATCTCACATCTTCACTGGAAAGGAGGTTTCCCATCAGCTGAGAACACTTCAGCCTCTAGCTGGAAAGAAGCCTGCTGCAATTTAAGACGGGAAGAGCAGAGAGGTGCCGAGCACTTGACACAGAGCTTCCTTTTGCTAACTTCTAAAATCAGGTCTCAATGGACTGGGAAGAAACAAAAACTCAGCCCTCCAATCAACCTGGAGCACCAGCCCTGATAGCCTCACAGCCTGGGGGAGACAGACCCACCCAGTCCTTCAGCTGCAATAGAACATTTCAAGCAAAAAACACTCCAACTTTTAACTCTGTGGGGTTCTTTTTTAAAGATTTTGTAAATTTATAAATATATATACCTACTATGTACCCACAAAAATTAAAAATACAAGATTTTGTAAATTAATGATATTTTATAAAAGAGAGTAATACACCTTGCTGTAAAAATTTTAAACCAAGACGAGGTACATGGTCAGAAGGGAATGCTCAGCCCTCACCCCGTCTCCATCCCCAGGACTGACCACTGTTCAAATCTGGTATTGGCTGGTGGCTCATGCCTGTAATCCCAGCACTCTGGGAGGCTGAGGCAGGCAGATCAGGAGTTTGAGACTAGCCTAGGCAACATGGCAAAACCCTGTCTCTTTTTTTTTTTTTTTTTTTTTTTGAGACAGAGTCTTCCTCTGTCGCCTAGACTGGAGTGAGATGGTGCAATCTTGGCTCACTGCAACCTCCACCTCCTGGGTTCAAGCAATTCTCCGGGTTCAAGCAATTCTCCTGCCTCAGCCTCCCAAGTAGCTGGGATCACAGGTATGCTCCACCACGCCCAGCTAACTTTTTGTGTTTTTAGTAGAGACGGGGTTTTGCCAGGTTGGCCAGGCTGGTCTTGAACTCCTGACCTCAAGTGATCCACCCACCTCGGCCTCCCAAAGTGCTGGGATTACAGGCATCAGCCACTATGCCCAGCCCTCCTTTTTATTAAAAAAAAAAAAAAAAAAAAAAAAAAAAAGGCCAGCGTAGCTCACGGAAGCTACCCCAGCAGCACGACACAGAGCTCTTTTCTTAAATGCCGCAGCATGGAAACCCAGGAACGCGCCGTGGGGGCTGGGGGCTCCTCTCGTGCACGCGTGGCCCCTGAAGCTGCCTGTTCTCTGTGAGAATGAAACACCCGAGCCAACGCTGGGCCACCCCAGGGGATCCCGGATAAAATCACCCCCAGTCCTGCCACACAGATGCGCATGCCCTCCCTGCTGGACCACCCCGCTGTCCTACGTGTTACCTGACGTGGTCCCCAGAGAAACAGCTTGTTCAGCCAAGGACGGCAGAGCGAAGGCTCAGCACCCCCTTGGCGCCAGTGCGTTACTCAAGAACACTCCAGATTTCACCGCTGCTGGAGGACAGGGCTGAGGAGCTGGAGTCCATGTCCCAAGCAGGCGTCTGTGTCTCAGGCAAAAGTCTACAGATGACCTGTACCCTGGTGCTGACCCAGCGGGAGAAGGCAAGCCGCAGCCACCGTACCACTGAATGCTCCAGTGGCCACAGTAAAACACAGAGAAAAGTGGAATTAACTTTAACGATGTGTTTTACCTAATCCAACATATCCAAAATATCACAGACTTCTCCATCGGACACTGAAATCCAGTACCTATTTCCAGCTCTCAGGGCCTCACACGTGGGCCTCGCCGCTTCTCCTGGGCAGGCAGCTACATGGCGCCGGCGGCCACCACACCAGAGAGGCCAGCTCTGGGTTTGTTACTCCCAGGACATTTGCAGCAGACGAGGATTGGCCTGCCCTGACGGAGAAGGTGGAATGGACTTGGGAGTCCTGCTGTGGCACGTCCTGACAGAGCTCTGTGTGGGAATGTGGGCGCTGGAGACAGGCGCAGGCCAGATGCATGAATGTCACAGGTGCCCAAGTCAACACAGGGTTATGGGGTGCAGGGGCAACAAGCCACGGGGCTACAAGGGGTCAATGCCCCCTGAGGGGACAGAGCGGAGCTGGAGGCGCTGGGGCTGGGGCTGAGGAAGAGTCCAGCCCAGAGGGCACAGACTTGGAGACAGCATGGGGTCTGAGACCAGGACCCCAAGCTCCCGTTCTCCCTCCCCCTTTTGTCTACCCACAATGACTCAGGTGCCTCAAAGTCAGCCAGGGAAGAAAGAGAGTTCTGCTCAGGGGCAGCCCCGCTGTCCTTACCTTGTTGGACCCCGGGGGCAGGTCCCTGGCTGGAGTGTGTGAGCAGCAGGAGGTGGCAGAAGTGTGGGGCCCTGGCTTTTATCTGCTGCCCAGACTGGGAGGGGCAGGAGGGTGGGGAGGAAGAAATCTTGCTGGATCCTCTCTTGCCTGAGCAGGGAGGAGGACTCTGCCCTCTTCCCCGCATGACCCAGAGTCTCTGCAAGCCAGGACGGCAGAAGCAGCCAGCAGCATGGCTGGGAGCAACCACAGGAGGGCCCGGGACAGTGCCTACGGCCGCTCACGGCAGCTGAGCCAGCGCCAGCGAGGGGAGAGAGTCCTGCCAGGGTGGGCACCGTGGCCGTCTTCCCGTTCTCATCATCACAGAGACACTGACCAAGAGGATATGACCAGGCCCCACACTCACAAAAGAGGCCAAGCCAGAAGTCGAACGACCATGTGTCGGCGCCCTGGCTGAAGTGCAGTGAGGAAGGACTCGCAAAGAAACAAGAAAATGCCTCTTCTCACACAGCTCAGGTAAAAGGTCAAAGACACACGGGGCTTGAAATCCTGACAACTCTGCCAAGTTGTAGGAGGCTCGGGCTGCCATCCCAAAACGCACATTCCCACACGCCTCTCCAACACGGCAGCCCTGGACTCAGCCCACAGGGTGACAGCCCAAGCCCCTTGCGGCAGGGTGGGGCTCAGGGGGAGTCTTCAAAAGAAAAGCCCAGGCGTGCCCTTCTCGACCTTCCTGCCTGGAATGCAGATGAAACAGCCGGGGCAAGGCAGCCATCTCGAGACCAGCGAGCCACAGCTAGGACAGAAGCCGGGGCCGGAGCATGATGTCGGAGGAGGTCAGGGTCTCTGCGGCATGGCAGGGAAGTGGCCGCCACCCTGACCGCCTGATTGCTAACAGGAGGAAGATGGATCTGCTGTTCGTGAAAGTGCTTGCAAAGGCAGAGCCTGCTCCTCACGGGAGCGGACCTGGGGAGCTGTGTGATAAGCAGCAGGTATTTATTGGTCTTAGTCCCTGGTTCCTGACACAAAGCTCATAAATTCCTTGTAATTTCCTGAGTGGGAAGGGTGACAGGAGCATCTTTTGTTCTATTTGGTTCTTGTACAAAGTTCTTAAAACCTTACATTTTCCTGGCTCGGCGCGATGGCTCACGCCTGTAATCCCAGCACTTTGGGAGGCCGAGGCGGGCGGGTCACGAGGTCAGGAGATTGAGATCATCCTGGCTAACACGGTGAAACCCCGTCTCTGCTAAAAAAAAAAAAAAAATACAAAAAAATTAGGCAGGCGTGCTGGCGGGCACCTGTAGTCCCAGCTACTCGGGAGGCTGAGACAGAATGGCGTGAACCCAGGAGGTGGAGCTTGCAGTGAGCTGAGATCACGCCACTGCACTCCAGCCTGGGCAACAGAGCGAGACTCCGTCTCAAAAAAAACCAAAAAAAACACCTTACATTTCCTACAGGATGGGAGCATCTACTGTTACTCCTAACAAGCCTTTCAATCTCACCTGAGTGACAGGAGACTTGCGGGGCCCTCGACAGCACTCCCCAGCCCCCTGCCGTCCTCCAGGAAGGACAGGGGCTGGAGACCAGGCTCCCTCAAAACTCTTGTACAATGGACTTCAGGGTGGTGAACTCACCCACATGCTGGGAGGCCCGTGCACCCCAGCTCCCCAGGGACAGAAGCCCTGGTACCCAGGATCCCCCAGGCCTCACTCTGTACCCCTTTCCCCCTGGCTGTCCATCGGATCCTTCGTAACACCCTCTACCAGAAACCAGCAGACACAGCTGGTATTTCCCTGAGTTCTGTGAGCTGTCCTGGCAAATGTTCAAACTCGAGGGCATCATGGGAACCCCAGCTTCCAGCCAGTTGGGTCATGGATCACAACCTGGGATTGGCATCTGACAGTGGGGCAGTCTTGTGGGACTGGGCCCTGGCCCTGGGGGATCTGACGCGTCAGAACTCAATGGAATTGGAGGGCGCCTGGGTGGGTGCCCTGGAGCACTGCTTGTGGGGAAACATCCACGCATCTCACGGCAGAAGTGTTCTGTGTTGAGTATGAGAGTGCAGTAGGGAGAAAATCTTTCTTTCCTTTTCACAGGGGACAAACTAACGAGTATTAAACTATAGATCCTGACATCAGCGCAGGCTGCTTCCCGAGGCGTTGCCCGGTCCCCGAGTGCATGAATCTGGAGGTACATGGAGTGCCCCCCAGACAGCGACTCCCCCCACCCCCTACTTCATGCCAGTGTCCCTTCCTGCAGCACAAGGAGCCCTGGGCACTGGTGGTGTGCTGGTGAGCACAGGTCCCCGAGGCTGCGAGCCTCATGGCACGCCTGGCTGGATTCCATCCCCTCTAGGAAAGAACCCAGTGCTCTCTGGGTTTGTTCTCCTTGTGCCAGCACAGACACCTGCAGCTGGTTTTCTTTGGGAAGCACACCCTTCACAAAGTCTAAAAACCCCGTGTGAGCATGGGGAGAAAGAAACAGGGACTCCTGACACAGAACAGACGCTCGCACCCCAGAGCCCGCCCCGCTGGGGACAGGCGCCCCATGCCCAGACCCCAGGCTGGCTCTGCCACCACCACTGGGCAGCCAGTCACATCACACAGCGAAAAAATGCAGCCAATCCTCATGGCAGCCCCTATGCTGACGGAGTGACCTGCCTGGCACGTGGCTCCTGAGCCACAGCCCCTGTGCTGGGAGACCCTACACTGACGGAGTGCCCTGCCTGGCACATGGCTCCTGAGCCACAGCCCCTGAGCTGGGAGACCCCATGGAAGCCCAGAGCACACTGTTGTTTCCCACAGAGCAGGTAGCTCCAGCCCAGACTTCAGCCTTTGGTCACAGGTCACAGACTGTGCCGGGGGGGACCCAGGCCCAGAGTCTCTGTGCCCCCTGCCATGCAGGCCTCTCTTCCAGGGACACAGGGACACTCTCCTCCACGTGCTGCCTGCCTTGAGGGTGGGGTTAAGGAGGGTCCCAGGGAGACTCTCCTCCACTCGCTGCCTGCCTTGAGGGTGGGGTTAAGGAGGGTCACAAGCCAGCAGCCTCCTTCGAGGACTGAAGCAGGTCCCTGCCTGGCTCGGCCCAGCGTCCTGGGGGCTGCACTCCTTCGCACGCACGCTTCCCCCCACGCTTCCTGTTTGCTGATGTGTTCACCATCCTCGCCTCGCCACCCCCACAAGAACAGGAGCCTCCTCCGTCACATCCACTCCTCGTCCCCAGGCTGAGAAAGGCCCTGATAAATGCATCACACACGTGCTCTGTGCGACTCCCCCACAAGCCTGGGCCTCCACATGCACCAAGGCCCCCGGGTGACTCATCCCCGTCCCCAGGTGACTTCCAAAAAAGGAAACCTTTTCCATTATAAAAAATCTCCCCCAAATAAGGAAGCCCACATTCTCACAACAATCTATCAAGTATTTGCTAAACCTTCACAAAAATGGCATCGAGAGACAGAGAAATCAGGAAAAGAATGTCCCAACACTCACACTGATGGTGACCCCCGGGGAGCTGTGAAATGTCCTCTCCACACTCACCCCACACCTTGGTGGGGGAGACAGGCCCGCCGTCCCCAGACACCCAGCTTGGGGTGGGAGGCTGTCAGGAGGTTAGTATCGTGTTAAAAAAGTAATTAACGCTTTATCCCTGGGGGAAAAAAAAAAGAGCTCAGAGAATCAACAGTGTGGAGCTAATTACTGATTAACAAAAGAACCACCACCAACCCCGGCTTTTGATTGCGGACCCAGCGAAGTGACTTCAAAGGCACCACAAAACTAACAAGCGCTCCAGGGCTGCTCATCACCTGGTGCAGCCCAGAGTCTCACCCGCAGGAAACAAACTCTTCTTTCCTTCTGTCCCCACATTCAACACTCAACACAGAATGCTCTGCTCACCAAAACGGGTGGGGATTTCGGCATCAGAAAATCCCATGGCGCCAGGGCTCGCCCTGGAGACTGCCCCACTTGTGACCTGTGCTCCTGACCACCGGGTCAGGATGCTGATCCTAGCTTGTGACCTGTGCTCCTGACCACCCGGCTAAGCTGGGGTTCCCACGGTGCCCTCCTTGAGTTTGATCATTTGCTAGGACGGCTCACAGAACTCTGGGAACACCGTCTACTGGTTTATTATAAAGGGTGTTATGAAGGATCCGGATGGACAGCTGGGCGGAGAGGAGCACAGGGCGAGGCCTGGGGTGTCCAGGGCACAGGAGTGTCCAGTGCTTCTGACTGACCAGCTACAGGGTGGCTTTCCAATGACTCCCCCTCAGGTTCAATTAATTTGCCAGAGCAGCTCACAGAACTCAGGGAGACACATTTACTGTTTTGTCTTGTTTTGTTTTTTTGAGGCAGAGTCTTGCTCTGTTGCCCAGGCTGGAATGCAGTGGCCCGATCTCGGCTCACTGCAAGCTCCGCCTCCAGGGTTCACGCCATTCTCCTGCCTCAGCCTGCTGAGTAGCTGGAACTACAGGTGCCCGCCACCACGCCCGGCTAAGTTTTTGTATTTTTAGTAGATATGGGGTTTCACCGTGGTCTTGATCTCCTGACCTCGTGATCTGCCCGCCTCAGCCTCCCAAAGTGCTGGGATTACAGGCGTGAGCCACCGCGCCTGGCCTCATTTACTGGTTTTTATAAAGGATGTTACAAAAGATACAGATGAAGAGATGCACAGGGTGAGGTATGGGGCAGGGAGCTCGGAGCTGCTGTACCCTCCCCAGGGCTCCACCCTCCGGGAACCTCCCCGTGCTTAGCAGCCTGCAAGCCCCCAAACGCTGTCCTTGAGGGAGTCTGTGGAGGCTTCATTACACAGGCACGATCGAGCAGAACACCGGCCACTGGTGATCCACTCCACCTCTGCGGGCTCCCTCCCCTCCCCAGAGGTCCACGGGTGGAGTCCCAACCTCTAATTACATGGTCAGTTGCCCTGGCAACCAGTCCCCCAGGAGGCTGTCCTGGAGCCCCAGCCACAGTCACCTCATTAGCAAAAAAAAAGACACTCAGCACTAAAGGTTGTAGGAGCTGTGTGCCCAGAGCCAGGGCCAGAGACCAAAGTATGTTTCTGATTACATCACACTATCACACTCACCAAGCATCACCTGCCCAGCTGCGCTGTCTCCTCTCAGCCGAGTCACACTCACACACACATTCAACACTCACACGCACACACACACTCTCACACTGACACATTCACGCTTTACACACACCCTTACACACACACACTCACTCACAATCTCTCACACACACACACACAGGGCTGAAGACATGATGAGTGTCCCAGCATGCAGTGGGGGAAGAAATGGACTAAAAAGACACAGCCTCGCACTCTGGGAGGGGTGCGGACGTGGTCACACCCCCGCCTGCAGTGCACTCCTGTCCCTTCTCCAAGCTTCAGGTGACAACCAGGATCCTGTCTGGAGACCCCCCGCGGACTCCAAGCATGGAGATGCAGACGCCCGCATGGCACCCACACATGAGGAAAGCCGGTTTGAAAACACCATGGAACCAAAGTCCCGGCTCCAAGATCTTTACACTATTTGGGAAGAAAACAGAGACACCCATGCTTGCGTCAGCAGTACGTGTACTAAAACCGGAACGAGGCAGAGAAGATTAGCGTGGCTCCTGCAGAAGGACGACATGCAAATTCGTGAAGCATTCCACATTTTTGGCTGGCATGGATGTGGTGAACAGGGAACACCTCTACATTGCTGGTGGGAATGTAAACTAGTACAACCACTGTGGAAACAGCATGGAGATTCCTTAAAGAACTAAAAGTAGATCCACCATTCGATCCAGCAATCCCACTCCTGGGTATCTACCAGAGGAAAAGAAGCCATGAGCGGAAAAAGACATATGCATGTTTGCAGCAAGATGACTTGCAATTGCAAGGATACAGAACCAACCTAAAGCATCCATGGACCGAAGAGTGAATAAAGAACACGTGGTCCATATACACCACGGAATACTACTCAGCCATCAAAAGGGACAAAATAATGTCTCACAGCAACTTGGATGGAGCTGGAGGCCATTATTCTAAGTGAAGAAACTCAGGAACGGAAAACCAAAAACTGTTCTCACTTATAAGTGGGAGCTAAGCTATGAGAACGCAAAAACATAGAGTGATATAATGGACAGGGAAATTGGGAAGGGGGTGAGGGATAGAGACTCTATATTGGGTCCAGTGTACCACTGCTCGGGTGACAGGTGCACTAAAATCTCAGAATTCGCCACTAAAGAACCTGTCCGCATAACCAAAATCCACCTGTACCCCACACACTAGTGAAGTTTAAAAAAAAAGAAAATAGAGACACCGGTAAACTTTTGTGACATCAAGCATGCATCCTAACATTTAAGGACGACACTCCAAGAATATAAATGATGGACAGATGTGTGACTTCTGCAGTAGGAGAAACAGGAAATAAAAACAAACTTCACCCAGTCTCAGAGCAGGCAGGAAAGTGAAGGAAAAGAATGTTAAGTAATAACGATGGTGATGGTAAAGTAGAAAGTTAAGACAAAAAAAGAAAAAAAAGTTAAACACATAAGTAATCACAAGTATAAACAGCATTTAAAAATTTAGCTGTCAGCCGGCAGGGGTAGCTCACACCTGTAATCCCAGCACTTTGGGAGGCTGAGCCATGCAGATGGCTTGAGGCCAGGAGTTCAAGACCAGCCTGGCTAACATGGTGAAACCCCATCTCTACTAAAAATAGAAAAATTAGCTGGGCGTGGTGGCGCACGCCTGTAATTCCAGCTACTCAGGAGGAGAATCACTGGAACCCGGGAGACGGAGATTGCGGTGAGCCAAGATCGTACCACTGCACTTCAGCCTGGGTGGCAGAGCAAGAGTCAGTCTCAAAAAAAAAAAAAAAAGCCAGCAGTCTGCCAGATTGCTAGATTTACAGAGACACACAAAGCTAAAATGTAACCAAGTGTCCCCCATTTTTCTGTTTCTAAATTATTTTTATCTCTTCTCTTCTCTTGTCTCCATTTCCCCCTGTTCCCCACTTCCTACATAGCCCTTTAGAAATGCAATTATACCCTTTTCCCTTCCATTCACTGGACACTGCCGATGGGGCAAGCTCACCTAACCATGTGCTCAGGAGCTCCAGGGGAACCCTCAGCCACCAGGTGGCTACCTCTAGAGACAACAATTGATCCACACCCAAAGTGCTGTTATGAACTAACTCTCTCCACCTGGAAAGTTCTGGCCACCTACAACACCCACAACACCCACAACCGCCGCAACACCCACAACCTCCACAACCCAACACCCACAACTCCCACAACACCCACAACTCCCACAACACCCACAACTCCAACACCCACAACCCCCACAACACCCATAACACAACACCCACAACACAACACCCACAACACCCACAACACCCACAACCCCAACACCCACAACCCCCACAACACCAACAACCCCTACAACACCAACATCCACAACACCCACAACCCCCACAACACCCATAACACAACACCCCCAACACCCACACCCCCTACAACCCCCACAACACCCACAACACCCACACCCCCTACAACACCCACAACACCCGCAACCCCTACAACCCCCACAACCCCCACAACACTCACAACTCCTACAACACCCACAACACAACACCCACAACCCCCACAACACCCACAACACAACCCCCACAATACCCACAATACCCACAACACCCCAACACAGTTCTGCCGGGGAAGATGCCAACTCGACCACCCGGTAGATAAGGCAGCGAAACGAGTTATGCGGACCCCCACCTGCCAGCCTCCTCCCCTGTGTGCCACACATCCCCCCACCTTTAAAAGTTCCCACTTTCTGCTCCAAAAGCAAAGTGGTACCCTCACTTTACCTCTTCCCCTAAGCTAGCTTTGGAATAAAGTCACTTTCTTTATACCCGACGTGCTCTTGTTAATTGGACTCTGCCAGCAGCAAGCGACTAAACCTGTGTTTTGGTCACAGAAACTGTGAAACTGTGTCACACAGAGGCAGAACTTAAAGGCAGAGAGGACACACAGACGGACACCAACGTGGAGATGACTGGAGTGGGAGCGTAAAGCTGCACTCTATAAAACACCTGCAACCAGACGGCAGACCTGAGCGCCTGGAGGGCTCAGCAGAGACCCGGAGGGAGGGTTGTGCCACGGCAGTGCAGGGCAGCAGAAGGAGGAGCAGCGGGACCGCGCCGGCAACAGGCTCACAGCACCCAGAGGGGCGGATGTGCCCTGGATGGAGGTGACGAGCAAGAAGGCTGACAGCGGTACGTGTGTGGGGGGCGGGGGCGGGGGTGCTTACCGTGTGCTTTGAGGACAACCCAGCAAATGGGGCGGTGGGGCAGGCCAGGGCAGAGTGGGCCCCCCTCACTTGCCCGCAGGGTGCCCGGGAGTGGGGAGAGGAAACAGCTTGGCTCTGGGACAGGAGAGAGGGGCCACGGGCTCTGCCACCGTCACTGTTCCTAGAGAAGCAACAGACCTTACCCAAAAAGGAGCAGCCTGAGGATCTTAGATACAGACACGAGCACGAGGCGGCCACAAACAAGACTCCAACTTCCCCGGCTATCCGCTCAACACCACCAAAAACTCGACCGAAGTGAAACAAAAACCCAGAGAGGCAAGAGCAGAAACCACGCATGGGAAGATGCAGGCGTCTGTGCTGTGTGTGCGAACGTGCATGTATTTTATCTGCAACTCCCTAAAATACACAAAATGACCACAGCCCTGGTCCAAACACACCAATCATATCTACCGATACAAAAAGCCTCCAATCACCTACTAAAAGGACAACATTCGCACTGGCTTAAAACAAACCCCAACTCTGCAGATAGAAGAGAAAGACCTAAAACAGAGAAATTCAGCAGAGTTAAAAATACATGAAATAAATATATACTGGAAAAATGCAAAAAAAAAAAAAAGGGTTCAATATCTTGATATTAGACAATAAAATATCAGGCCAAATGAAATAAATGAGACATCAGGAATATAACGCTAAAACTAAAATTCTTAGAGCAGATATAGTCATTCGATATGTTCGTACCAAATAACCCGACACACTTCATTCAGCAGAAATTCTGGGGATGCTACAGAAACCCATCTCAGCATGTGAAGGCAGGAGACGTGCGTGTCCCTTCCAACCCGAGACAGAACACGCGGGCAAGAAATAAGCACACAAGGCTGTCAGACATATAAACAACAAAATTAAAGAAGCAGTGCATAAGGAGAAAGAGGCAATTCTGTACTTGGTAAGAGAGAACACACCTTTCTTTTTTCAGTATCCCATGGAAACATTCATAAACAGCACCCATATATTAAGCAGCAAAGAAATTTTCAACCAATACCAAGTAATAATTAAAATACAAACAATATTCCCTAGAAATTAGTAACAAAATCAGAAAACAGGGTTTTCTACACTGAAATTTAAACATTATCTTCTTAGATATTCCTCTTAAAGGGAAAATAGAAGTAAAAACTGAAGAATTTTTAGAAACCATACTAATAAAACTAAAGCAGTGCTTTAGAGGAAAATTTAACCCATTGATTACTTTACATCTTTAGAAATGAAAGCAAGACAGTAAGAGAATGAATGAAGCCTCCAACTTAAAAAGTTGAAAATTACAAAGTAACTGAAGGAATTAATAAATATAAAAGGAAAAAAATTTTTTTTAATCTTAATAGCTAAATTGAAATTTTTTTTAAATCAACAAAACAGTAAGCTACTTATAGCAGTTTTTAAAAAAAGCTAATCAAGGCCCAGCACAGTAGCTCACGCCTGTAATCCCAGCACTCTGGGAGACCAACGCGGGTGGATCACTTGAGGTCAGGAGTTCAAGAGCAGCCTGGCCAACATGGAGAAACCCCGTCTCTACTAAAAATACAAAAATTAGCCAGGCATGGTGGTGCATGCCTGTAATCCCAGCTACTCAGGAGGCTGAGGCAGGAGAATCGCTTGAACCTGGGAGGCGGAGGTTACAGTGACCCGAGATCGCACCACTGCACTCCAGCCTGGGCAACAGAACCAGACTGTCGCAAAAAAAAAAAAAAAAAAAAAAAAAAGCTAATCAAGAAAATGGAGAATAAAAATATACAAAATAAGAAAACAGGGCTGGGGGGCAGGCGCAGTGGCTCATGCCTGTAATCCCAGCACTTTGGGAAGTTGAGGAGGGCGGACTGCTTGAGCTCAGGAGTTTGAGACCAGCCTGGCCAACATGGTAAAATCCCATCTCTACTAAAAATACAAAAATTAGCCGGGCATGGTGGCGCGCACCTGTAATCCCAGCTACTCGGGAGGCTGAGGCAGGAGAATCACTTGAACTTGGAGGTTGCAGTGAGCCAAGACTGCATCACTGCACTCCAGCCTGGGTGACAGAGGAAGACTCCATCTCAAAAAAACAAAAGAGGAAATAATCATCAAAATAAAATACATTTTTTAAAAACTCACAGAAATAATTGCATATCTCTATGCAAATAAATTTTGAAATCTAGATAAAATGGATAATTTACTAGGAGAAAAATTAATTATAAAGTGTGGCCATGGAAAAGATAGTTTAAACAGAACTATCTTTATAGAATTTTATAGAATTAAGAAAGACTTGTTTTTACAGAATTAAAATATCTGAGTACTGGGCACGGTGGCTCAGGCCTGTGATAACAGTGCTTTGGGAGGCCGAGCTGTGAGGATCACTTGAGACCAGGAGTTCGAAACCAGCCTGGGCAACATGGAAAGACCCCCATCCCTACAACAAATTTAAAAATTAGTTGGGCGTGGTGGGGCACACCAGCCACTTGGGAGGCTGAGGCAGGAGGACTGCTTGAGCCCAAGAGTTCGAGGCTGCAGTGAGCCAAGATCGCACCACTGCACTCCAGCCTGGGAAGAGATTGAGACTTCAGCTCTAAAACAAAACAAAACAAAACAAAACAAAACAAAAAAAACCTCTACATGGAATCTCATATTTTAAAAAATTTTTAAATAAAAATAATTAAAATATCTATTAAACAGTTTTTTAAAATTTACCTCTAACAAAAGTACCAAAGGCAGATGATTTCACAAGTGAATTCTACAAATCCTATAAGAATAGACTATTTTAACATTAATTAAACTTTCCCAGAACATAAAGAAGGAAGACGTCCCAATCCCTTTAATGAAGCAACACTGACATAAAATTCACAAGGAGAAAGAGTGCAGAGGGAAGGGAAGAAGGAAATTTGTCTAAATCACCATCTCAAATTGTGGCGTAAGGACCCCAGGGGGCCCCAGGCCTCGCAGGCAGGGGGGTTCCAACAGCCTTCTTCATGAGCGCATAGCCTTGTGCAGCATAATTTTCTTTATGAGCCTCAACCACGACACAGAGCAACAGGCTGCCTGCAGAGGCAGAGAGACGTCAGCCGTGGCCTCTGAGGTCAGACATCAAAGAGACTGATAAAAATAGAAAACAGGGCCACTGTCCTTACTAATTTTGGAAACTATGGGTTTTCCTTACAAAAGCTGGTTTATCCCAGGACACAGGAAAAAAAATACTTTTTTGTATGCATTGGACTTTGAAATGAATTATTAAATATTTTTTAATGTTCTCACTGTTAATTTCTTACCTAGTGTATATCAACACCATATTAGAGGTCTCTCGACCTCGGTACTCCTGGCATTTTGGATGGGATAACTCTGCTGCAGGGCCGGCTGTGCCCTGCGGGATTCAGCAGCCTCCCTGGTCTCTGTGCATTTGATGCAGGAGTGACTGTCTCCCAGCAGCTGCCAACCAAAAACATCTCCTGCCATTGCCAAATGTCCGCCAAGGGACAAAGGGAGTCACCCCAGTTAAGGACCACAATAGCCGCAACTCAAAAGCAAAATCTCTTTGGGGTCCTCAATAATTTTTTTTGAGACAGGGTCTCGCTCTGTCACCCAGGCTGGGGTGCAGTGGGGTGATCTCAACTCACTGCAACCTCCACCTTTGGGGCTCAGGTGATCCTCCCATCTCAGCCTCCCAAGTAGCTGGTACTAGAGGCGTGCACCACCATGCCTGGCTAATTTTTGTATTTTTTTATAGAGACGGGGTTTCACCATGTTGCCCAGGCTGGTCTCAAACTTCTGAGCTCACCTCGGCCTCCCAAAGTGCTGGGATTATAGGCATGAGCCACCACACCAGGCCCTCAGTAATTTTTTAAGAGTGTAAACTGCCCATAGGTTTGAGAACCACTGCTCTTCATATGACTATGAATGCAAAAATTTCTTTAAAATTTAGCAAACAGGGCTAACAGCACATTAAAAAGTCAACACATACATGATGACCATGTGGATCTGTTTCATGAATGCAAGGATGGTTTGCTATGAGGAAATTGACTAACAAAGTTCATCTGATTCCTTAACAAGAAGGCTTGACAGGCAGCACAACAAAATTCAACCCTGCTTCCCAATAAAAACACTCAGTAAAGCAGGGGCCAGTACTAAATATTACACGTCCTCAATGTCTGCCTCTCCGAGGAGAACACATTCACTGAACTTCCAGTGAGGTGCTCATTCACAGGCCACAGTCAGCATTTCACTCGCTGGGCAAACACCGGAGGCACCGCAGCAACCGTCAGGGACAAGGCAGAGTGCCCTGTAGTTAAAGGCCAGCCTCGTGCATGCACAGCGATGGAATACCCACAGTAAATAACATTTGCAAACTGACTCCAGCCAGAACTTTACCAAAACATCATGACCACATATGGTTTATCCCGGGACACAGGAATGGTTTACTATAGAAGACCAATTAACAGGACTATTGACGATAAGTGATAAAAGGAGAAAAGCAACAGGATGATTTGCATTTAGACTCAGGAAAAGCAGATGCTGAAGTCCATGGCCACGCACCACTGATTAAGAAAGAAGTAGGCATGAGGCCCCGTTCCTCAGGGCACTTCCTGCAGCCACTGGCATAGGACGAGTAAAGGAGAGAAACAAAGATTGGAAAGAACAAAGCAAGCTTTCATCATTTGGACATAACACAATCATCTGCACGGAAAATCCACAAGTTCCTGGCCATGGCCAGAGCACCCCTGGTGCCCACGGGGGCTGCCTGCCATCCTCGCTAGGTCTGCGCCATGGCCAGCGCCTTCCTCAGGAGAAATTCATCCTCACTTGGGAGAGATGAGGAAGGGAGACAAGGCCACGATAAAAGGAGACGTGGCTCACATGTGCCCCACCCTTTGCTCGCGTGCCAGGATTGCCCCATGGCCCCGGCATCGTCCTCTGCCACTCTGGCAGGCTGGACTGAAGGCACACAGTGGTCCCATCCAGCTCGGGCCCACGTGTTGCCATGGACACACCTCCTGATTCCAATTCACATGGAAGTGTTGAGATGAACACTTACGGCAATGCTCAAGCTGAGCCTGTGAGGACGACTAAGATACCTCTAGGCTCCCAGTGCCACCATGCCCATGAGTCCGTGGAGTTCCACCAGGACCCCTGACCTAATGCCAAACCAGCAGAGCAAGATGCGCTGGGGCCCAGCCTGGAAGCTCCAGGGGCAGCCTTTGCTTTGAATTACATTCACCAAGAGGTAAGGGGGTGCCAGGCAGGCAGTGTCTGAGAGAAGACACACGCACAGACACACAGCAGCCTCGTGACTAGGCATGGTCAGACGAAAGCCACCGCCCCCGTCTCTGCTGGCCTGCACTTCAGAGGACTGCAGGGGAGCTGCTAGCTAATGAACACAGATGACCCGGTCAATAAAACACGCAGAAATGTGCATGCATAGAGCCCTTTACCTGTGTTCCAATGGGAGGAACCCCGTGTGGGATGTTCCAGAGCACAGCAGCTCCAGAGTGGAAAAGGAGTCTGCAGCCCAGGCCACGGAGCACCTAGGGCCTCCTTGCCACCTTTATGAACTTATGAACGGCACCAGACAGACAGAAAGAAAGAGCAGGCAGGAGGCAAAGTCTGCCTTCCAGCGAGGCGGCATCTGGGCCAGGCGGGGTCACCCAGAGACCAGGGAGCTGTGAGGGCCAGTGTTGCAATCTTCCCAGACAGGCCTCGCTGCGTTGGCCTGGACAGGCTGCTTCTGACCCTGCCCAGCCCCTCAATATAAGAGCGCAGCTCTAGGACACTTTCCAAATCACACAAACACAGTTCAAGTCTTTAAAGCACACTCGGGTTCTAGTAGACTGATAATCAGGTAACTGTGCTCCAAAACTATCACACGGACAGTTCTTACAATGCACATGTGTGTGTGTGCCTACAGGTATCTCTTTAGAACATGCATAAAAGAGGAAGTGTTTCTTTAAATGAAGTAGATCTATGTGTAGTAAAAGTTTTCCAAGACAAATTAAAGTCAGGTTTTGCAGAGAGATGTCATGACACGTAGGTGCATTTTTGGAAACTCTGTCGGTGTATGTATGTTCTTATGTGTATTTTTTATAAACTCTAGAAGGATAAACCACAAACCGCTTACAGTGGTTCCCTCCAGGAAACGGAGTGGGATGTGGAATGGAGTAAAGAATGCAATTTTAATTATTTATTAGATTTGGCTCTGTGTTTAATTTTCATAGGCATGTATTACTTTTATAATGAAAACATAAATATCAAATGGAAAATTAACTTGTGCGCCTTAACCTCCAACCCTCCATCTCTGCGGTGGTTGGAACAGTACAGCCTTGTCCTGAACACTGATGAGATTTGTTTCTTAAGAAAAAAGCTTCCCTTGCAGAATACCTGACTTCACGAGACACAGCTTGGCAGATCAAAGTCTGAGCCCTTTGCTCTCCCCTCATATACATCACACTTCAGAGCACAAAGATAATTCCTCCTCCCACACACAGCAAAGATGTAAGAACTGCAGTGACCGGAACACCCACCTCCTCCAGTCCCCCGTGGGCATACAGCACACTTGCTTCCAGAGGGAAGGCCGGCCCTCCTCGGCCCTCCGCTCCACCTTCACCTCACTGTATTAGGACTTCACCTAATTCACTTAATTCACCTAATTAGGACTAATTCACCTGTATTCACCTAATTCACTAATTCACCTAATTCACCTGTATTAGGACTTCACCTAATTCACTTCACTGTATTAGCACTTCACCTCCTCCTTCACCTCACTGTATTAGGACCCTAGACTGCTGCTGGCAATACGCGCGGCCACAGCCGCTGGGAGACACCTGTGGCTCCACTCCCCTCCTCCAGGGCATCTGTCACCAATCTCTGCAGACCAGCACCCTCTCACGGGCGCAGGACCAGCCTGGCACAAACCTTTGGCTGCCATCAGGGCTGAACACGCACTCCCCAGAAAGAGGCCAGGAGCACAGAGGGAGGCCGTCTCCATCCCTCTCTGTCCTCTGTGTTCCTGAGATAGGTGTGAGTCACACCCTGCAGGCTCCCCTTCCTTGAGAACTCACGAACAGGGGGATCCCAGCCACGGGTCACGCTGTGGGTTTTAACCCGGAAAGAACAAGACACCACACACCTGCCTCACTTCCCCAGGATGCGTCCTAGGTCTCCTAAACTCCCAGTCCAGGGTGTCCTGGGGCACCCTGGTGCAGACCTGGGGGCTTACTCCTCACCACCACCCTCTCCATGATGAGGCCTGGGCCCCCCTCCCCACCGGGCTAGCGTTCAGATAGACCCTGCAGGACGGTGTACTAATGCTCAGGGCGGGGGCCCAGTGCTCCCTCACAGCTTCCCCCTGCAGCAGAGAACAAAGTCCCACCCAGTGGCTTCTCGGAGATCCACAGCCGGCCTGCAGGCCTGGGAGCCAGGCTCTCCTGCAACGAGGGCAGAGCAAGGAGAGACGAGACCTGAGACAAATATGATGGAACAGCACCGTCGGGATACCTTTCATTATCCAGGAAAGACTCAAGAACACTTTAAAGTCCTCTTCAAATGTGTATGAAAAGGCCGGGTACAGTGGCTCATGCCTGGAATCCCAGCACTTTGGAAGGCCAAGACAGGTGGATCACGAGGTCAGGAGATCGAGACCATCCTGGCTAACACGGTGAAACCCCATCTCTACTAAAAATACAAAAAAATTAGCCGGGCATGGTGGCAGGCGCCTGTAGTCCCAGCTACTCGGGAGGCTGAGGCAGGAGAATGGCGTGAACCCGGGAGACGGAGCTTGCGGTGAGCCGAGATCACGCCACCACACTCCGGCCTGGGCGACAGAGTGAGACCCCGTCTCAAAAAAAAAAAAAAAAAAAAATGTGTATGAAAAATGAGTGGCCCACCGCCGGCCAGTCCACTGCCTGCCGTGAAGGGGCCATGGACCGAGGGGCCTGTAGCTTCCGAGGAAGCCACACCAAGTGATGTCAGAGGATCGGCCCAATGGGGCCCTTGGAGCACCCAGACCCGGGAGGAGCCTTTCTTGAAGTTGGAAGAGTGAAGTCCCTTATCAGACAATGTTTGTTGTACAAAGAAAAAAAATAGTAAGTAAAAATTAAAATCAACGAATGAAGTCCTATTCAGGTGAGGCCCGCCTGCTCTCAGGGTTTTTCCCAGTGGCCTCTCTCTCCAGGGCAGGGCTGGCTGTGACAGGGCACGTAAGGACCCAGGAGCAAAAGACGCAGGCCAACCTCGGAGCACAGCAGGGGCATCCGGGGACCGTGTGAGCTGAGCCTGAGCCTGTACCCTCATCCAAAAAATGCAAACAACAGGGTTCGCTCCACAGGGATGGAAGGAAATGAAATGACGAGGGACTTTTGCAGCCTGGAGCTGGCAGGCCACCACGCTGACGCAGCACGGGCTTTGATCCTCGCCCTCATCAGTGAGCATCCTCTGCAATTAGCCTTTTCTTAAAGAACCCAAAGGTTTTAGAAGCTGCTGGCATTTCACAGTCCCCTGAACCTGGACACAGCCCTGAACCCGGAGCTGGAGGCCATAGGTCCTTTCTCATCCTTCTAGTGCCGCACCCACGGCTCCACTCCCCCTACCCCATGCCCTCACCTTCTGTCTATGCAAGAGCTGGGCTCCTGTGCCCATTTCACAGACAGGTCACCAAGGCCCAGGAAAGCAAATGCCTTGTTATGAATCACGGAGCGAGTCATACACACCGGGTTCCACAAGTTCCCAGCCCATGTGCTCCCCCTGATCGGGACACCTCCTTTCTGATCGAGAAGGGCCGGGGCTCAACACACAGGTCAGGTTGGCAGGTGGCCATGTGTGAACTTGGCTGGTTCCGCTCACGACAGGCATTCCTTCCCCAGAGTCCTCAGGGCTGGGGAGTGACCAGCCCCAACAAAGCTGCCAGCTCTGGATATCACCAAATTCACCCCAAGCCCTGGTATTTTGTGCTTTAGGGCACAAGTGAAGCTTGCCAAGTGCCTCATACAAGCCTTGGAAATCTCACTCCAGCTTTGGAACACACACACGTTTTTCCCACATAATTTAGGCTCTGAAGCATTCAGGTCTTCCAGCACACGGAAAGAGAAAGCGTCCCTGGGGTGCCTGAGCCAGCGCCCTCCTCCGAAGACCATCATCCCTTTGCTCTGCTATTACGGGAACATGCTTCCACGAGGGTGGGGACTACTCGGTCCCGTGGGGTCTCCAGCACACGGAGCCGTGCGACGGAGAGGGCGCGCAAACACCCGAGCAGGGGAATCGACAAACGTGTGGCTTTAACATGGTATCGGTCTGCTGGGTTTGGGGGTTTGGTTGTTGTTGCTTTTTGAGTCTGCTGTTTTGTAGAAGCCCGTATTTTTCACAGAGGGAATCAGATGAAACCGAAAACGCAAGCTCTTAGGAAGCTTATATGGAACGGTTTTTTTGTTGTTGTTGTTGTTGAGACGGAGTCTCGCTCTGTCGCCCAGGCTGGAGTGCAGTGGCGCGATCTCGGCTCACCACAAGCTCCGCCTCCCGGGTTCACGCCATTCTCCTGCCTCAGCCTCCCGAGTAGCTGGGACTACAAGTGCCCGCCACCACGCCCAGCTAATTTTTTGTATTTTTAGTAGAGATGGGGTTTCACCGTGTTAGCCAGGATGGTCTCGATCTCCTGACCTCGTGATCCGCCTGCCTCGGCCTCCCAAAGTCCTGGGATTACAGGTGTGAGCCACCGTACCTGGTATGGCACAGTTTTATGGGAAACTTTTTGTTAAAGTGTAATAGATACAGAGAAGTACATAAATCTTCAGCATGCGGCTGGATGAAATTCCAGAGAGGATCCACTCTGACCAGCAGCACCCAGATCAAGAAACGAATCCCAACTACTTTGGGAGGCCGAGGCCGGCAGATGGGCTTGAGCCCAGGAGTTCAAGATCAGCCTGGGCAACATGGCAAAACCCGGTCTCTACAAAAAATAAAAAAGCCGCGTGTGGTGGCCCATGCCCGTGGTCCCAGCTACCGGGAGGCTGAGGCAGGAGGATCCCTTCAGCCCAGGAGAGCTCAAGGCTGAAGTGACCTGAGATCGCGTCATTGAGCTCCAGCCTGGGAGACAGAGAGAGACCCCCTCTCAAAAAAAAAAAAAAAAAAAAGAAAGAAAAGAAACAGACCCTCGCCAGCCCCTGAAGCCCCCTGGGCCTCCTTTGCCTCCTGCCAGGGCAGCTACCCTTCCTGTTCCCCCTGCCAGGTCTGCCTGTCTCTGTGCTGCACTTACGAGGGCCTTGCACATGTGCTGACCCACTGCGCTTCTTCCACCCAGCATGTGTGTGTCGGCTCGCCCAGGCGGAGCACGGGTGTCTCCACGCAGCTCATTCCATGCTGCTCCCCTGGGCAAGTAGCCGGCAGTGTGTTCACCCAGTCCACCTCCGCAGGGCACACAGGCCTGATGAACACGGCTCCGGCGACACTCCTGGCTGTGGGTTCACGCCTCAGAGCAGAGCTGCTGGGTCACAAGCCATGGGTTTGCTCCGCTTTAGAAGATATTGCCAAAGTTTTCCAAAATTAAGAGGTGAGGTCACAGCCACCATGAGGAACAAGCGTCCCATCACGCCCCATCCCACCTCCTCATCAACTCTGGCCTTATCTGTCTCGTTGGTTTTAGCCAATCTGCTGACTGTCTAGTGATACAACATTTCTGGTTTAAAAAGTTCGTTTCTCTGATAACCAATTGAGTTGCATGCCTTTTCAGATGTTTATTAGGTATTTGGGCACCTTTCGAGAGGTACTGGTGCAAGTCATGGACAAACATTTTGCTATAGATTTCGATATTAACACTCACCAGCTTGGGCGGGGGGGAGCTGCAGTGCCACACCGTCTGCTTAGTTTTGCAACCTCTCCTCCCTCCCAAAAGTGATACGTGGCATGCCATCACTGACAGTCACCCGGTTTGGTGAATATCGAGTTACTCACCCTAGAAGCTTGGTTGTAAATCGGATTTGGGTTGTTCTGCAGCTACTACTAGCCCCAAAAGACACAATGTTTCCAACCTGCCCTTCTTTCTGTTCTTTTTCCTAGACCTCAGTTATTACAGAACCGTGATGTCCCTGTCCCCAGAAAGGGAACAAAGGAGATCAAACCGATTTCCATCTTCATCTTCTCAAAATGTCCTCCTTCTGGGAGAGGTCTGCTGATGCCTGACGCGCCTTGGCCGGTTTCTCCCCTAGAAGCAAAACCTCATCCACAGCACAAGCCCACGTGCGCCACACCCTGCACCTGACAGATCAGAAGCCCTCTGGCCCCCCAGCCCTTGCTGGTGGCCTTCCCACAGCCCTGTGGTGACTGCAGAAGCCCCATGCCCTCCTCTCAGCCCTGAGTACAGTCCAACAATAGCCAAAGGACAGGCAGAAGAGCGGGAATGCAGTGAGAGCTGAACTGGGGGGTGCAGGACAGTTCAAGTTTCTTTTGCACAGAATAGCAATTTGCAACAATTTAACAGTTTAAACCACAGGCAAAGTATTAAATCAACAATGAGCAAACCCAGCAAGTAAACTTTTGTGAATCCAGAATGTTAGAGGACAGCTCAGAGTGCCAGTTAGCTGGGAGCTGCCACTGTGTCTTTATAGTATCGTTAGTATCTTCATAGTTATCTGCTATCAAATAAGCAATCTTAATAAAACAATCCTAAAGAGACACTAGGCCGGGCGCAGTGGCTCACGCCTGTAATCCCAGCACTTTGGGAGGCCGAGGCAGGTGGATCACGAGGTCAAGCAATAGAGACCATCCTGGCCAACATGGTGAAACCCCATCTCTACTAAAAATACAAAAATTAGCCGGACGTGGTGGCGGGCGCCTGTAGTCCCAGCTACTCAGGGGGCTGAGGCAGGAGAATCATTTGAACCTGGGAAGTGGAGGTTGCAGTGAGCCGAGATCGTTCTACTGCACTCCAGCCCGGGCGACAGAGCCAGACTGTCTCAAAATAAATAAATAAATAAATAAATAAATAAATAAATAAATAAATAAATAAATATTTTTTTTAAAAAAAGAGACACTAAATACAGTCATTTTAATTTGAAAACTATGGAGGCATTCAGCACCCAGCTCAGATGGTCAGCAATGCTGTTTGAGGTCCGCCATGACTACATCTCTGAAAGCCCGAGCTTGGTGTTGGTCACTTCAATCTTGCTCATGTTTGTTTTTATCAAATGGTAGCTTTCAACACACCCTGGGTTGTGACTGGGACACAGAAGGCTAAATCACCTGCCTACCAAGAACTGGGCCTGTGAGTTACACCTGGAAGCCTTGGAACATCAGGGATGGGATTTGATCTCTGCCGACAGCATTTGGAGGAGACACCTCCTGGGTAGAAAGCAGCCACAGTGGGAGAAGGACACAGGGTCCAGGGCCACCCAGAAGGGACCTGCAGCCTCATCAGCCACAGCAGCGGGCCTGGGAACGGGGGTGGAACACATGGGAGCAGTGGGCAGGGGCCCTATGACGACGGGCTGCAGGAGCACAGGAGGAGCTGCCCCAACCCTGGGCCCACCCAGTGACTCAACGGCCAGGCAATTCCATGCTCTCCACCAAACCCAGGGCTTCCTGAGGAGCGCGTCCCCCAGGAGCAGGGCACCAACCCCCAAGAGCAGGGCACCGACCCCCCAGGAGCAGAGCACCCTCCAGCAACAGATAGCTGGGCTCCCCACGGGGATTGTGCAGCTGTCCCCGGGCCACACCTCTGCCCCATCCCAGACAGACGGCTCCCAGTCGGTCTCCAGGAGAGGGGTGGACTTCCTGGGCTGCTAACAGAGCCGGGGCAGCCCTGTGAGGTGACTCCCATGTCCGCTGTGCCCTGGTAGGCGCCTCAGCCCAGCGTCATTTGTAGCTCAGCCCCTTTGAGCTCAGCTCATCCCTCGCAGGAAGAGAACAAAGTTACCTGAACTTTATCATCTGGGTTTTGGACAAATGAGAAGGGACTGTAATAAATATTCTGTTGGTCATAAGCAAAGGTTAAAATATATACCTTTAAGAAAAATTAATCAACAAGGTATCAAGGCCCAACGCTGACCCCAACACTGGACACATACACACACACACACACACACACACACACACACACACACTCTCACACACGGCGCCCTGCGTCAGGCGGCCTCACTGCCCACTTACCAAGGCACAAGGTCAGCAGAGCCAGTGGGAACAGCTGCCCTCAGGGCTTCCGGCTGGACAAGCCTGAAAGTGAAAGGCACACATGTCAACGTGCTTGCGCAGGACTGGAGAGACGCCGTGTGACCAAATATATGCATCCACTTCAAAACCCGAAAGGCTGCATGTCAGGGAGACTGACAAGCACGCATTAACATCCTTTCCCGATCAACCAAACACTCCGTCACTTAAACATCAGGGTCAAGGCCATTCAGGGCATTGCTGGCACGCTGCTTCCCACTGCCTGGCCAGGAGGCCCAACAGATGGCTCATAAATGAACAGTCCCGGAGCCGCCAGAGGTCACGCCCCAGGAAGGACACGGAAAAGCCACCCAGCCACCTGCAGGCTCTTGGAAAGGCGGGGCCACCATGGGCCCCTCCGGATGCCACAGCTCCTGCGACAGCTACACCAGCCTTACATGCGCTCCCGCTGCTTCCCAAAGCCCTGCCAGCCGCAGCCCTGGGCTTCTCCAAAATCCAGCCCAGCCCAGCCCCCGCCAGCAGACCATTAGCCTGCCTGCCGGCAACCAGGAAAAAGCCCGTGTTTGCTCATTTGTGTTACATTGTGGTGACGTCCACTAACATAAAATCCACCATTTTTAGGTATGTGGTTCAGGGGCTTTATGTCCATTCCCACTGCTGTGCAATCATCACCCCTGTCCATCTCCAGAACTTTCTCATCTTCCCAAGCAGAAACACTGTCTCCATTAAACACCTACTCCCCATCCCCGCTAGCCCCTGGCACCCACCATCACACTTTCTATCTCTACGAGTTAACCACTCTAGGGACCTCATATAAGTGGAATCATACACTATTTGTCCTTATGTGACTGGCTTATTTCACTCAGTATAATGTCCTCAAAGCTCACCCACTTGGTGGCAGGTGTCAGAATGTCATTCACATTTCAGGCTGGATAATATTCCACTACAGACACTATGGACTGAATGCTTGTGTCCCCCAGCTACAAATTCATATTTTTTTTGAGACAGGATCTCGCTCTGTTACCCAGGCTGGAGTCGCCGTGGCACAATCACCGCTCACTGCAGCCTCAGTCTTCTGGGCTTAAGTGATTCTCCCACCTCAGCCTCCCAAGTAGCTAGGACTACAGGTGCATGCCACCATGCCCAGATAATTTTTTAAATTTTTTGTAGACAAAGCATTTCACTATGTTGCCTAGGCTGGTCTTGAACTCCTGAGCTCAAGTGATCCGCCTGCCTCGCCCTCCCAAAGTGCTGGAACTAGAGGTATGAGTCACCATGCCTGGTCCAAATTCATACGTCGAAATCCTCCCTGCTAATGTGATATTTGGAGACAGGGCCATTGGCAGGGGATTAGGCCAAGAGGGAGGAGCCTCAAAAATGGGATTGGTGCCATTATGCCAAAAGACACGGGCCAGCTGCTTCCTATCTCTCTGCCATATGAGGGCACAACCAGGAAGAGGCCCTCACCAGCCACCAAACCTACAGGCACCTTGAGCTCGGACTTCCAGCCTCCAGAACTGTGAGAAATAAATTTCTGTTACTTAAGCCAGCCAGTCAGTGTTAACTTTTTTTATAGCAGCCCAAATTGACAAAGACAGTGTATATATCGCATATTTTCCCCTATTAATCTTACAGTTCTAACTTTCACATTTAGGTCTATGATCCATTTTGGTTAATTTTTAAATATAGCATAAAGTAGGGTGAAGGGCCATTGTTTTTGTAGATAGGTGTCCAATATTGTCTTTCGATATTTGAAAGGCATTCCTCCACTGTCTTCAAATTGTATAGTTTCTGATCAGAAACCGGCTCTCATTTTTGGCTTTGTTCATCTGTATGTGATAGCATTTGCCTCTGTCTACTTTCAGGATTCTCGGCAATTGGATGATGGTGTGTATTGGGGTGAATTCCTTCATGTTTCTTCGGTTTGAGATTTGTTGAGCTTCTTCGGGATGAGTTTCATCAGATCTGGAAAAATTCTAGCCATTATTGTCTTCAGGTATTTTCTACCACACACGCCTCTTTTCTGGAAATCAGTTTCATATGTTACTCTCGATATGGTCCCACTGATGCTCTGTTCATTTTTTTGTCTTTCTTTCTTTGTGTTTCATTTTACAAAGTGCTGTGTCTTCAAGTATACTGATCTTTTCTTCTGCAATGTCTAATCTACCACTAATCCCATTCAGCATATTTTTCATTTCTAGAAGATTTATTTGGGTCTTTTTTCTTTTTGAGACAGTCTCATGCTGTCACCCAGGCTGGAGTGCAATGGTATGATCATGGCTCACTGCAGCCTCAACCTTCCTGGGCTCAAGCCATCCTCCTACCTCAGCCTCCTAAGTAGCTGAGACCACAGGTGTGCACCACCACGCCCAGCTAATTTTTGTACTTTTCTGTACAGATGGGGTTGTCCAGGGTGGTCTTGATCTCCTGAGCTCAAACAATCCTCACATCTCAGCCTCCAGAAGTGCTGGGATTACAGGTATGAGCCATGACGCCCGGCCCTAGGTCTTTTTTTTATATCTTCCATTTTTTTCTTTATTTTTATCATATTTGCCCTGATTGAACACGTGGAACATATTTATCAATGCCATCTTAACATGCTTGCCTGCTAGCTCTATCATCTGGATAGATATAGTTCCCTTCCCTTCTCTTTTCTCTTCTCTTTTTTTTTTTTTTTTTTTAACAGAGTTTCACTCTGTTGCCTGGACTAGAGTACAGTGGCATAATCATAGCTCACTGCAGCCTCGAACTCCAGGCTCAAGGGATCCTCCTGCCTCTGCCGTTGAGTAGCTGGCACTACAGGTGCATACCACTATGCCCAGCTAATTATTTTCTTAAAACAAACAAAAGAACACATATCTTTTTAGAGACAGGGTCTCGCTATGTGGCCCCAGAGGGTCTTGAACTCCTGGGCTCAAGTGATCCTCCTGCCTCAGCCTCCCAAAGGGCTGGAATTGCAGGTGGGGGCTACAGTGTCTAGCCTGGATGTTTCCAACCATTGATTTTCCTCTTCTTCTGGGTTTTCTGTATGGCAGTCACTTTTGCTTGGCTGCTGGGCACTGTGAACTTGGTGCCTGTGAACTTGGCACTGGACGCTGGGTTTGCTGCTGTCCTGCATCTCCGGGCTTTGTTCTGGGAGCAGTCAACCTAGAACCAGTTTGATCTTTTCAGATCTCGCTCGTAAGCTCTGTTTGGTGAGTCCTGAGCGGACCTTTGTAGGACAACCTTGGGTGGTGAGTCTCTCCCTCTGGCCACTGAGCACACAGATTCACCCCACCCTGTGAACTCGGGGACTGTGCCACCCCTGCTCTCCCACGCCCCTTTCCCTCACCTGGGCAGCATTCACATGCCACCTGTGGTCAGCTCTCAGAGACTGGAAGGCCCCTCCTCAGCTCTCCAGAGCTGTTTCTTTATGGAACTCCCTCTTCTTCCATATTTTTCTTTGTACATTCCAGCCTTCCTGGAGCCCCTTAACTCCACACTCTGTCTCCACCAGGTCCTGGTTCCCCTCCCTGCCCTGTGGCTGGAGACTCTGCAGGTGACACGCTGGGCTACTGAGGCCTCACTTCCCTCATGCCCCTCTCTGGTCACTGTCCACACGGCCTGCCACCAGTGTCTGAAGCCTGTGGCTTCATGCACTTTTGTTTGGCTTTCTGGTTGATTAAGGTAGGCTGTGAAATTTGGTCTGTATCTTCCACCATGGCTAGAAGTGCAAGCTGGAATCTTGCATTTTTAAATCCAGGTTTTCACTCATCCAGAATGGGCTTCTCCAGTGGACCTCACAGGTGTTCCCTCTCCAAGACACACTGACCTATGTCTAAAGTGGAACCTCAGCTGCAGAGGGCCTGACTTGCAGAGCCAGCTTGACAGCCGTCTCTGGAAGAGAACAAAAGCATTTGCCTTTTTCTTTCTACCTCCAGATCATTTACTCTCCATGAAGACATCTCACTCAAAGTACATTTTCTATGTCAGAATGCAATAGCAGGACTATTTGCCTGCCCACGTTAAACTAGAAGGCAAGCCTGCACTTAATCAGCAAAAAGAAGGCGGTGCTCCAAAGGCAGACCATGTACTGACAGCACCTGAGACACTCCTCCTCTCAGTTCATCGCCTCTTCCCAATTTCTTCTTGACCTAGGCAGGTCAAGAGAGCATCACCGGGGCTGGGTCACGAATCTCTACCACTCCCAGTCATGGGTTCTCCCAAGCTCCTCTCAACACCCAACAGAACCGGGGCCGAGGCAGCTGCTGCACACACACACACGAGGTGATGCCTGGGAAGCCTCCTGGGGGACCAGTGATCCTCAGCGGTGGGGAGCAGATGGGAGGGGTGCTCTGCTCAGGGCAGGAAGGCAAGAGCCAGAACCACAGCGCTGCCGCTGCTCACCGCGGCCAGCCCAAGCAGCAGGGCTCCCTCCTCCCTGTCTGCCAGCCCTCCCCAACGCACTCGGTAAGGGCAAGGGCGTCCCGGGGATCCGGTCACGAATCGCTCAGACCTTCTAAGAGACCTTTAGAGGCTCTGGGTGCACATCCCCGGCCGGATCTGTGATTTACAAACATCTTCCCCCTTCCTGTGGTCGTCCTTTCTTGATGGTGTCCTTTGTAGCACAAAGGTTTTTAATTTTGATCTTAGAAGCAACCTGAGAAAAAAGGGAGACTACCTTCAAAGGAGAGATGGCCTGACAAGGATGTCTTCACACAAAAAGATGCTGACGCCAAGCAGAGGCTGACATCAAAGTGCTGAAAGAACGGCACTGCCAACCAAGAGTTCTGCAACCAGCAAGCATATCCCCCAAGGGGCAGGGAAAACTAGTGCTTCCGGACAAACACAAGGGGCGGGTTCGCCACCAGCACACTCTAACCAGAGGAATTTCTCATGTACGTGCACTTCAAGGAGAAAAAGAGATCCCAGATGGGAAGTCTGAGATGCAAAACGTAAAGGAAAGAGAGCGGCAAGTGTGTGCAAATCTAACACAAAATGTAATCAGGCCGGGCAGAGTGGCTCACGCCTATAATCCAAACACTTTGGGAGGCCAAGGCACAAGGATCACTTGAGTTCAGGAATTTGAGACCAGCGTGAACAACATGGTGAAACCCTGTACCTACAAAAAAAAAAACAGTAATAATCCAGCAATGTCTTGTGATATTCAAAAGTAAAAAAGAATTTAAATACACAGGCTGGGTGTGGTGGCTCACGCCTGTAATACCAGCACTTTGGGAGGCCAAGGTGGGCTGATCACCTGAGGTCAGGAGTTCAAGATCAGCCTGGCCAACATGGAGAAACCCCGTCTCTACTAAAAATACAAAAATTAGCTGGGCATGATGGTGGGTGCCTGTAATCCCAGCTACTCAGGAGGCTGAGGCAGGAGAATTGCTTGAACCTAGGAGGCGGAGGCTGCAGTGAGCCAAGATTGGCCCACTGCACTCCAGCCTGGGCGACAGAGCAAGACTCCGTCTTGGGGAAAAAAAAAGAATTTAAATACACAGTCTATTAGTTGTAAGGGGCATTAACGAAGGTAAGGATGCTTGCAGGTCCTTGGATATTCCCGAGTGTAAAACGTACAGGTTAATTGTAGATTCGTTTAATAAGAATGTTGTGCTTGTGGGGAAACCAGTAAAAGAACAGAGTCTGTAACATCCAAACTGGTGGAGGGCAGAAAATGAAAGGATCAATAGTTGACTCAAAAAGAGCAAGAAAGGAGAAGGAAAGGAAAACATCAGCACAGACCAAGAAATCAACAAAATATAAGATGGTATATTTCAACGCAAATATCTGCAGCTACATTTAAAGTAAACCAAATAAATGATCCAGTTAAATTTTTTTAGTTGTCAGACTTAAAAAACCAACTGTCGCTCTCCCTCTCCCCTCTCCCCTCTTCTTTCTTTTTTCGGTCTCCCTCTGTTACCGAGGCTGGACTGTACTGCCCTGATCTCAGCTCGCTGCAACCTCCCTGCCTGATTCTCCTGCCTCAGCCTGCTGAGTGCCTGGGATTGCAGGCGCGCGCCGCCATGCCTGACTGGTTTTTGTATTTTTGGTGGAGACGCCGTGTTGACCGGGCTGGTCTCCAGCTCCTGACCTCGAGTGATCTGCCCGCCTCGGCCTCCCGAGGTGCTGGGATTGCAGACGGAGTCTCGCTCACTCAATACTCAATGTTGCCCAGGCTGGAGTGCAGAGGCGTGATCTCGGCTCGCTACAACCTCCACCTCCTAGCCGCCTGCCTTGGCCTCCCAAAGTGCTAAGATTACAGCCTCTGCCCGGCTGCCACCCCGTCTAGGAAGTGAGGAGCGTCTCTGCCCAGCCGCCCCCTCTGGGATGGGAGGAGCCCCTCTGCCCGGCCGCCCCGTCTGGGATGTGAGGAGCGCCTCTGCCCGGCCGCCCCCTCTGGGAGGTGAGGAGCCCCTCTGCCCGGCCGCCCCGTCTGGGATGTGAGGAGCGCCTCTGCCCGGCCGCCCCCTCTGGGATGTGAGGAGCGCCTCTGCCCGGCCGCCCTGTCTGGGAACCCTTCTGCAGGTGTGCCTAACAGCTCCGAAGGGACAGCGACCATCGAGAACAGGCCATGATGATGACGGCGGTTTTGTCGAATAGAAAAGGGGGAAATGTGGGGAAAAGAAAGAGGGATCAGATTGTTACTGTGTCTGTGTAGAAAGAAGTAGACATAGGAGACTCCATTTTGTTCTGTACTAAGAAAAATTCTTCTGCCTTGGGATGCTGTTAATCTATAACCTTACCCCCAACCCCGTGCTCTCTGAAACATGTGCTGTGTCCACTCAGGGTTAAATGGATTAAGGGCGGTGCAAGATGTGCTTTGTTAAACAGACGCTTGAAGGCAGCATGCTCCTTAAGAGTCATCACCACTCCCTAATCTCAAGTACCCAGGGACACAAACACTGCGGAAGGCCGCAGGGTCCTCTGCCTAGGAAAACCAGAGACCTCTGTTCACATGTTTATCTGCTGACCTTCCCTCCACTATTATCCTATGACCCTGCCACATCCCCCTCTCCAAGAAACACCCAAGAATGATCAATAAATACTGAAAAAAAAAAAAAAAAAAAAAAAAACGGACTGTCAAACTTCAATTTAAAAAAGATCCTCCAATCATACACTGTCTACAAGAGATACATTTCAGATTTAAAGATACAGAAAAATTAAAAATAAAAAAATAAAAGAGACATGCAAAGCAAACAGTAAACAAAAGGCAGCTGGTGCCGCTATATTAATTCCAGACAAAGTCTGAAAGGCAGAAAGCATTAAAAAGGTAAGAAGATAATTTCACAGTAATAGTCGCTTCATTCATAAGGAAGATATAAAATTTTAAGTCTGTATCACCTAATAACATAGCTCTCAAGTATATAAAGCAAAACTCGATACAACTGCTAGACAAAATAGACAAATCCACAATGCAAAAACAGCTGTAGACAAGACATAAACAAATGGTGTGACTGCGGTCCAGCAAAACTTTATAAAAGCAGGTAGCTAGCCAGACTTAGCCTATAGGCTGTAGTTTGCTGACCCTTAGTATAGAAGATTTGAATAACATGATGAATAAACTTGATTCAATCAATCTACACACAATGCTGCCCCTACCACTGCAGAACAGAATCTGTTCAAAGACACACAGAACATTTTAAAATCTGACCGTGTGCTGGGCCATAAGGCAAGTCCTAAAAAGTTTCAGAAGACAGAGATCAAGCAGAGCAGATTCCTTCACCCCACAGACGCTTAAACGAGGGGAAAAAAAAGTAACAAAAAGTTATCTGCAAAAATCCTGGTATGCTCAGAAGTTAAAAACAGTTATCACGGCCAGGCGTGGTGGCTCACCCCTGTAATCCCAACATTTTGGGAAGCCAAGGCAGGTGGATCACTTGAGCTCAGGAGTTCAAGACCAGCCTGGCCAGCATGGTGAAACCCCATCTCTACTAAAAATACCAAAATTAGGCCGGGCGCAGTGGCTCATGCCTGTAATCTCGGCACTCTGGGAGACTAAGGTGGGTGGATCACCTGAGGTCAGGAGTTCGGGACCAGCCTGGCCAATATGGTGAAACCCTGTCTCTACTAAAAATACAAAAAATTAGCCAGGCATGGTAGCAGGCGCCTGTAATCCCAGCTACTTGGGAGGCTGAGGCAGAAGAACCACTCAAACCAGGGAGGTGGAGGTTGCAGTGAGCCGAGACTGTGCCATTGCACTCCGGCCTAGGCAACAGAGCGAGACTCTGTCTCAAAAAAACCCACGAAAAACAAAGAACAAAAAATTAGCCAGGTGTGGTGGCGGTTGCCTGTAATCCCATACTTGGGAGGCTGAGGCAGGAGAATCACTTGAACCCACGAGGTGGAGGTTGCAGCGAGCCAAGATCGCACCACTGCACTCCAGCCTGGGTGACAGAGACTCTCTCAAAAAAAAATTTTTTTTTAAAAAGTGATCAATTGTCAAAAAATTCAAAAGAGGAATTCAAAAATATGTTGAATGAAATAGTAAAAAAAAAAAAAAAAAAAAATCCTGTCACTACATATAGGCTGACGCAGCCTAAACAGTTCCTAAGGGGAGTGGCAACCTTAAGTGTGGACTGCATTAGAACATTGTAAAATGCTGATAACAGGCTGGGCACAGTAGCTCACACCTGTAATCCTAGCACTTTGGGAGGCCAAGGCGGGCGGACTGCCTGAGCTCAGGAGTTAGAGACCAGCCTGGGCAACATGGTGAAACACTGTCTCTAATAAAAAAATACAAAAAAATTAGCTGGGCATGGTGGCATGCACCTGTAGTCCCAGCTACATCAGAGGCTGAGGCAGGAGAATCGCTTGAACCCAAGAGGTGGAGGTTGCAGTGAGCCGAGATCGCACCACTGCACTCCAGACTGGGGGACAGAGCAAGACTCTGTCTCAAAAAAAAAAATAAATAAATAATAAAATAAAATGCCGAAAACAAATGACACAAGATATATCTCAAAAAATTAGGAAAACAAATTTAGAAGAAGTAACAAAACAATCTAAAACTCAGAAATTAATAAGATAGAAAACATACAAAAAGCCACAAAGTTGGTTCTCTGAAAGGATCAATAAAATCAAAAGAGTTTTATCAAGAGAGTTGATGATAAAAAGAGAGGAGGTGCGAATCAGGTCAGGAAAGAAAGGGGAACAGAGTCCAGTGCTTCAGGTCTTTTAAAATCAGAGGCCACTGATGCCTTTTCATAGGAATGAACTTGAAAATGTAAAGTTAAATGGACAAATTCCTAAGAACAATAACGGACAAAAATATCCTCAAGAATAAATCAGGGGCAGAGAGGAAGAGAGGTTGATTAGTGGGTATAGATAAACACTTGATAAAAGAAGTAAGACCTAGAAATAAGACCCGGTGTTTATAGATCAGTATGGTGACTACAGTTTACAATAATCTATCGTATATTTCAAAATAGATAGCAGAGAAGAATTTGAATGTTTTTAGCTTAAAGACGAGACAAATACTTATGGTGACAGATATGCCAATTTATACCAAATTGACCTTTACAAATTATGTGAATATATTAAATTATCACACTTATCCCCTCGAAATGGGTGAGTCATATAGTGGGTGAACTATATCTCCACAAAGCTGTTACCAAAAAAAAAAAATAGAAAACCCAAAGAATACCATAATCGTTACAAAACTGAAACAAAAGTCAAACATCCACCACCAAAAAAATGATCATGCTAAGTTCAGAACGATTTCACCAGTGATATCCTACACTCTTGGTGTAGGGATTCCAATCTTCCATAAACTCTTTTAGAGAAGTTAAAAAAAAAAAAAAAAGAAAGAAAGAAAGAAATACCTGGCCCCTGCCCAGTGCATTTTGAAGCTAATATAATCTTTTTGCCAAAACCTGACAAAAACAGGATGCAAAGGATAATTACGGAGCAGTCTCACTCACGAGCATGAACGCCAGAAGCCGGAAGGAAGCTTGTTCACTGTGCCTGGCTTCGCTGCACTTCCAGATACTGAGTTTTTGCAGCGTGAAGGTTCGTGGCAGCCCTGAATCCAGCAAGTCTATCGGCCACGTTTTTCCAACATCAAGTGCTCACTTCTGGCGTCTGTGTCACATTTTGGTAATTTTCGCAATCGTTCAAACTTTTTCATGATTGTTATACCTGTCACAGTGATCTGTGGTCAGTGATCTTTGATGTTCCTACCATAATTGTTTTCAGTGCTGTGAACCGGGCCCCCATCAGAGGAGGAACTGAGTGGAAAAAGGTCGTGCATGCTCTGAACTGCTCGGCCGAGCGGCTCTTCCCATCTCTCTCCCTCTGTTCCAGCCTCCCTATTCCCTGTTACACAGCAGTGTTGAAATGAGGCCACTTAATAACCCTCTGATGGCCTGTAAGTGTTCAAGTAAAAGGATGAGTTGCACAGCTCTCACTTTACATCAAAAGCTAGAAGTGACTAAGCCTGCTGAGGAAGGTGTGGTGAAAGCCGAGATAGGCCGAAAGCTGGGCCTCTTGGGCCAAACAGTTGGCCAAGTGATGAATGCAAAGAAAAAGTTCTTGGAGGAAATTAAAAGTGCTACTTAGGTAAACACACAAATGATAAGAAAATGAAACAGCGTTATTGCTGATATGGAGAAAGTTCGAGTGGTCCGGAGAGAAGATCAAACCAGCCTCAATATTCCCTTAAACCAAAGCCTAGTGCCTAGCAAGGCCCTTACTCTCTTCAATTCTGTGAAGGTTGAGACAGTTGAGGAAGCTGCAGAGAAAAAGTTGGAAGCTAGCAGAGGCTGCTGGCTCAGGAGATTTAAGAAAAGAAGCCACATCTTCTTCACATAAAAGTGCAGGTGAAGCAGTAGGTGCCCACGGAGAAGCTGCAGCAAGTCATCTGCAGATGGAGCTAAGATCACTGATGAAGGTGGCCACACTCAACAATAGATTTTCTTTTTCTTTTTGAGACAGGGTGTCACTCGGTTGCCTAGGCTGGAGTGCAGTGCCATGATCTCAGCTCACTGCAACCTCTGCCTCCTGGGCTCAAGCAATCCTCCCAAGTCAGCTTCCCAAGAGGCTGAGATGACAGGCACAAGTCACCATGCCTGGCTAATTTTGGTGGGGGTTGCAGAGACAGGATTTTGTCACGTTGCCCAGCTTGGTCTTGACTTGAACTTCTGAACTCAAGGAATACACTCACCTCAAGCCCCTCAAAGTGCTGAGATTACAGCTGTGAGCCACCATGACCACCCAACAGATTATTGATGTAGACGAAACAGCCTGATATTGGAAAAAGATGCCATCTAGGACTTTCACAACTAGAGAGAAGTCAATGTCTGGCTTCAAAGCTTCAAGGGACAGGCTGACTTTCTTGTTAGGGGCTAATGCAGCTGGTGACTTTAAGTTGAAGCCAATGCTCATATACTATTCCGAAAATCCTAGAGCCCTTAAGAATGATGCTAAATCTACTTTTGCCTGTGCTCTAGAGATGGAATAACAAAGCCTGGATGACAGCACACCTGCTTACAGCATGGTTTACTGAATATTTTAAGCTCACTGTTGAGACCTACTGCTCAGGAAAAAAGGATTCCTTTCAAAAAATTACTGTTCATTGCCAATGCACGTGGTCACCCAAAAGCTCTGGGGGAGATGCACAAGGAGATGAATGTTGCTTTCATACCTGGTAACACGACATCCACTCTGCAGCCCATGGATCAAGGAGTAATTTCTTTTTTTTTCTTTTTTTTTTTTGAGACAGAGTTTTGCTCTTGTTGCCCGGGCTGGAGTGCAGTGGCATGATCTCAGCTCGCTGCAACCTCCGCCTCCCAGATTCAAGCGATTCTCCTGTCTCGGCCTCCTGAGTAGCTGGATTTACAGGCGTGCACCACCACGCCTGGGTAATTTTTGTATTTTTAGTAGAGACGGGATTTCATCATGTTGGCCGTGCTGGTCTCAAACTCCTGACCTCAGGTGATCCACCCACCTCAGCCTCACAAAGTGCTGGGATTAGAGGTGTGAGCCACCATGCCCAGCCGTGGAGTAATTTATACTGCCAAGTCTTATTATTTAAGAAATACATTGTATAGGAATATAGCTGCCATGGATAGTGATTCCTCTGATGGATCTGGGCAAAGTAAATGGAAAACCTTCCGGAAAGGATTCACCATTCTAGATGCCATTAAGAAGACGCATGATTCATGGGAGGGGGTCAAAATATCAACATTAATAGTTTAGAAGAAGCTGATTCCAAGCTACGTGGATGACTTTGAGGAGTTCAAGACTTCAGCAGAAGAAGTCACTGCAGAAGTGGTGGAAATAGCAAGAGAACTAGAATTATTAGTGGGGTCTGAAGATGTGACTGAATTATTGCCACCTCATGATCAAACTTGAACAGGTGAGGAGTTGCTCCCTTTTTTTTTTTTTGTTTAGATGGAGTCTCGCTCTGTCACCCAGACTGGAGTGCAGTGGCACTATCTCGGCTCACTGCAAACTCCACCTCCCGGGTTCACGCCATTCTCCTTCCTCAGCCTCTTGAGTAGCTGGGATTACAGGCGCCTGCCACCACACCCAGCTAATTTTTTGTATTTTTAGTAGAGACAGGGTTTCACTGTGTTAGCCAGGATGGTCTCAATCTCCTAACCTCGTGATCTGCCCACCTCAGCCTCCCAAAGTGCTGGGATTATAGGCGTGAGCCACCGCACCCGGCCCGGAGTTGCTTCTTATGGATGAGCAAAGCAAATGGTTTCTTAAGGTAGAACCTACTCCTAGTGAAGATGCTGTGAACATTGTGGAAATAACAACAAAGATCCAGAGTGTTACATAAACTTGATTGATAAAACAGCTGCAGGGTTTGAGAGGAGTGACTCCAATTTGGAAAGAAGTTCTACTGTGGGTAAAATGCTATCAAATGACATCACGTGCTACAGAGAAAACTTGTGAAAAAGAGAGTCCATCCATGTGGCAAGCTTCATTGCTGTCCGTATTGGTCTGTTCTCACACTGCTATTAACAAATACCTGGCTGGCCAGACATTATGGCTCACACCTGTAATCCCAGTACTTTGGGAGGCCAAGGCAGGCAGCTCACCTGAGGTTAGGAGTTCGAGATTGGCCTGTCCAACATGGCAAAACCCCGTCTCTACTAAAAATACAAAAATTATCCAGGCGTGGTGGCGGGTGCCTGTAGTCCCAGCTACTCAGGAGGCTGAGGCAGGAGAATCACTTTAACCTGGGAGGTAGAGGTTGCAGTGAGGTGAGATTGTGCCACTGCACTCCAGCCTGGGCAACAGAGTAAGACTCTGTCTCAAAAAATTAATAAATAAATAAATAAATGAAAAAAAAAAAACCTGGCTGGGCACAGTGGCTCACACCTGTAATCCTAGCAATTTGGGAGGCCGAGGCGGGTGGATGGCTTGAGCCTAGGTGTTCAAGTTCAGCCTGGGCAGGGTGGTGAAAACCCATCTCTACAAAAAGTGCAAAAATGAGCCAGGCATGGTGGCTCACACCTGTGGTCCCAGCTACTTGGGAGGCTGAGGTGGGAGGATCGCTTGAGCCCACGAGGTCAAGACTACAGTGAACAGAGATCACACCACTGCACTCCAGCCTGGGCAATAGAGCAAGACCCTGTCTTAAAAAAAAAATTGAGACCGGGTAATTTATAAAGAAAAGAGGTTGAATTGGCTCACAATTCTCCACCCTGTTTCAGAAGCATGGTGGCATCTGCTCAGTTTCTGGGAACACCTCTGGAAGTCTACCATCATGACGGAGGCAAAGCGGGAAGCAGACGCGCGGTCTCACAGGGCCAGAGCAGCAGGAAGACAGAGGGGGAGGGGCCACACACTTTCAAACAGCCAGATCTCACGACAACTCTATCACAGTTACAGCACTAGGGGGACGGTGTTAAACTATGAGAACCCACCTCCAGGATCCGATCCCCTCCCACCAGGCCCCACTGCCAACACTGGGGATTACAATTCAACTGAGATTCAGACAGGGACACAGATCCAAAATGTCAGATTTTAGGGACACAGATCCAAAATGTCATATTTTAGGGACACAGATCCAAAATGTTAGATTTTAGGGACACGGATCCAAAATGTCAGATTTTAGGGACACAGATCCAAAATGTCATATTGTAGGAAATTGCAATGGCCACCCCATTTCAGCAACCACCTCCCTGAGTGCTCAGCAGCCATTCACGTCGAAGCAGACCCGTCTACTAGCAAAAAGACGAAGACTCACTGAAGGCTCAGATGATCATTAGCATTTTTTAGCAATCAAGTATTTTTTAATTAAGGCATGCACACTGTTTTTTTTAGACACAATGCTATTGCACACTTAACAGACTACAGTATAGCAGAAACATAACTTCTGATGAGATCAGGCACGTTCAGGGTGGCATGGCTGTACACAGCATAAACCTAACTTCTGTATGCACTGGGAAATCAAAAAATGTGTGTGCCTCACTTTATCGTGATATTTATTTTATTGCCGAAGTCCGGAACGGAACCCACAATATCACCAAGGTGTGCCTGTATTAGTTAACTAATCCAGTAATTTATGAAAAAGATCATGGCTAAATTGGGTTTATTCCAGGAATGCAGGGACTTTTTAACATGATATTAACAAATCAAAAGGGGAAAGCCACAAGTTCACTGTAACTGGCAACATCCAATCATGATTGTGATTAAAAACAAAAACCAGAACCTCCTGGCAAATGCGAAATGGAGGGGAATTTTCTCAACTTGATAAAAAACATTAAAAAAAAAAAAAAACCCACAACAACCACTTCACTTAGCAGTGTAACAAGGAAGGTTTCCCTTTGGTGAGGACCCTCTGTCGCCAACATGCCTTCATCACCTCAGTCCCATGCTTGTTGGAGATGCCAGCACAGGACGACAAGAAAAGTCAATAGAAATCTAAGGACTGAAAAGGAAAACAAATCTGTTGTTATTCACAGATGACATGACTGTGCACTTCAAAATCTAAAAGTTAAAGAAATAAATGTTTAAAAATCTGAAATAATGTACAGATAAGATTTTTAAAATCAATAAGAAACTTTGTTTTTTTTTTGAGACAAGTTCTCACTCTATTGCTCAGGCTGGAGTGCAATGACACAATCTAAGCTCACTGCAACCTCCGCCTTCCGGGTTCAAGCCATCCTCCCACCTCAGCCTCCTGAGTAGCTGGTATTACAGGCGCATGCCACCATGCCTGGCTAATTTTTATATTTTCAGTAGAGATGGGGTTTCACCATGTTGGCCAAGCTGGTTTCGAACTCCTGACCTCATGATCCGCTCGCCTTGGCCTCCCAAAGTGCTGGGATTACAGGCGTGAAGCACCTCGCCCGGCCCATGTTCTGTTTAATGTTTTCCTGGTACTTCATATTTTGGATGCTACTGTAACTGGTATTTAAATAATTCATTTTCTACCTGTTTGTTGCTGATATATAAGAATATTGATTGACCTTACCATTTATCTAGCTACCCTGCTAAGGTTTCTTTCTTTTTTTCTTCAACTTTTATTTTAAGTTCCGGGGTACATGTGCAGGATGTGCAGGTCTGTTCCACAGGTAAACGTGTGCCACGGTGGTTTGCTGCATAGACCATCCCATCACCTAGGCATTAAGCCCAGCATACATTAGCTTTCATATATATATATATCCTACACAAAAACAATTCCAGGTGGAGTAAAGCCTTACAAATGTTAAAAAGTAAAACCAAGCTGGGTGCAGTGATGCAAGCCTGTCATTCCAACATTTTGGAAGGCTGAGACAGGAGGATTGCTTGAGCCCAGGAATTCGAGACCAGCCTGGGCAATATACTGAGACCCCATCTCTACAAAAAAATTAAAAATTAGCTGGGTGTGGTGGTGTGCACCTGTAGTGCCAGCTACTTGGAGGCTGAGGTGGAAGGATCGTTTGAGCCTGGGAGGTTGAGGCTGCAGGGAGCTGCGACTGTGCCACTGCACTCCAATACAGGTGAAAGAGTGAGACTCTGTCTCAAAAATAAACAAACAAAAAACTAAAACACGATGTTTTCTCCAACTTTTTAAATGAAAAGTTTGTATAGAGAAGTTGAATTAATAGTACAACAAGAACGTGTATATGGGCCGGGCGTGGTGGCTCATGCCTGTCATCCCAGCACTGTGGGAGGCTGAGGCAGGAGTTCACTTGAGCTCAGGAGTTTGAGACCAGCCTGGCCAACATGGCGAAACCCAGTCTCTACTAAAAATACAAAAGTCAGTGGGTGTGATGGCGGGCGCCTATAGTCCCAGCTACTTGGGAGGCTGAGGCAGGAGAATCACTTGAGTCTGAGAGGTGGAGGTTGCGGTGAGCTAAGATCACGCCACTACACTCCAGCCTGCGTGACAGAGCGAAACTCTGTCTCTAAATAAATAAATAAATAAACTCTGTATACAACTACCTATATTAGAATTAACATTTGAGGAGAGCGCAGTTGTGTGTGTGTGTGTGCGTGTGCGCACGCTTTTATTCCTCAACCACCTGAGCATTACTTCCAGACATCATAGCACTTTATACCCAAATATTTCAGTGTGTCTCTGCTAAGAGTAAGGCCTTCTTCATCATCACAATAAAATTAGCACACTAAGAAAATTAACCCTTAGTCCCTGATATCATCTATTAGTCAACCTACATTTGCATTTCCCCAGCTGTCCCAGAAACACTGAGATAGTTGCTGTTTCAACCTGGACTCTAATCCAGGTTCCTAGGCTGCATTTGGTTGTTTCTTTGGGGTCTTTTCATCCAGAACAGAGGGTGGCGACTGCTTCTGGGCAGGAAGATGGTGAATATTTCAGGCTTGGGGCCATTGCAGCTCAACAGTGGCCACAGGCACCAAGAAGGCAATGGAGTGACAGCCAGTACTACTTCACCTGCAAAAACAGAGAAGGAGCTGGGCCTTGACCTGGTTAGCAGGGCTGCTTTGGAGTACCCACGTTTAGCCAGTTCCTGCACTATGAAATCTCCAGCAAACCACTGTTGGTGGGAATGTGAGTTAGTACAACCACTATTGAGAGCAGTTTGGAGGTTCCTCAGAAAACTAAAAATACAGCCACCATGTGACCCAGCTATCTAACTCTTAGGTATATACCCAAAAGAAAGGAAATCAGTATATCAGAGATACCTGCACTTCCATGTTCATTTAGCACTGTTCATAAGAACCAAGATTTGGAGGCAACCCACATGTCCATCAAGAGACGGATGGATAAAGAAAATGTGGTTCTTATACACAATGGAGTATTATTCAGCCATAAAAAAGAATGAGGTTCTGTCATTTGCAACAACATGGATGGAACTGGAGCTCATTATATTAAGTGCAATAAGCCAGGCACAGAAAGACAAGCATAACATGTTCCCACTTATTTGTGGGATGTAAAAATCAAAACAACTGAACTCATGAAGACAGAGAAGGCTGGGAAGGATATGGGGGTAGAGGGAGGTTAATGGGTATAAAAATTAGTTAGAAAGAATGAATAAGGCCTAGTATTTGGCCAGGTGTGATGGCTCATGCTTGTAATCCCAGTACTTTTGGAGGCTGAGTCGGGTGGATCACTTGAGGTCAGGAGTTCGAGACCAGCCTGGCCAACAGGGTGAAACCATCTTTACTAAAAATACAAAAAATAGCCAGGCATGATAGCATATGGCTGTAATCCCAGCTATTCGGGAGACTGAGGCATGAGAATCACTTGAACCCGGGAGGCAGAGGTTGCAGTGAGCCGAGACCACGCCACTGCACTCCAGCCTGGGCAACAGAGCAAGACTCCATCTTTAAAAAAAATTTTTTTAATAAAAAAAGATCTAGTATAAAGACCTAATATTTGATAGCACAGCAGGGGGACTGCCAGGAGGAGCAGAGGTGATATTGGTGACTCCCTCCCCTAACCATCAGCTCCAAGCCCTGCAAGTTTCCATGCCAGGCACCCCCATGCTCAGCCACCAGTCTCTGGCCGCAGGTGCTGCGTCCACCCAGCTGTGCCCTTTGCAGGCTTCGGCTTCCTATGGCATCACGATTGCCATGTCGCTGCCCCGGCTTTGCAAAAACCCCTGCCTGTATTTGGAGCCCCTGACCGGGCAACCTTCCCTCCTGTCAGCTGCTGCCAAGGAACCCCCTTGCCAGCACTGGCCCGCTCCTCAGTGCTCCTGAAAACACTGCTTACCCATCCCTGAGCCACGGTGCCCTCACCCACAGGAGCCCTGCGCACCTGCGCACCTGCACACCTTCACCTGTGGCTCCCCTCGCCTGTGCCACAAACCCCGGCCGTATACTCCAGGCTTCCACAGGGCTGGGCCTGGGGCCACAGAGTCATCAAACAACAGGCCCTTTTCTTCCTCCAAATCAGCTTATATAAGAAACTGGCACTGGGCACGGTGGCTTATGCCTGTAATCTCTGTACTTTGGGAGGCCAAGGCGGGTGGATCACTTGAGGTCAGGAGTTTGAGACCAGCCTGATTTTTAGTAGACCATCTCTACTAAAAATACAAAAATTAGCCAGGCATGGTGGCGTGTGCCTGTAATCACAGCTACCTGTGAGGCTGAGACAGGAGAATTGCTTGAACCCGGGAGGTGGAGGTTGCAGTGAGCTGAGATCATGCCATTGCACTCTAGCATGGGTGACAGAGCAAGACTCTGTCTCAAAAAAAAAAAAAAAGAAAAAAGAAAAACTGGCAATCATAAGTAGAAAAAAAATTGTAATTGAAAGTTATTTGTTCAAGAACTGGAGACCAACTAGGAACACACGAAGCAGAGAAGTGAGTCTCCGCGTCTGCATCAATGACGCAAAAGCAGCTGTGCAGGGAACCCGTCTGGCCCAGGCCCAGGCCTCCTGCACCCAGCGTCTGCGAGCTCCATGCTACCAGAGGGGCTGCAGTTGGCTGAGGGAGGTGGGGATGCCATTTGAGGTCTAGCCGCAGGGTGAGGGGAGCACGGCCGGCCAGTGTACACAGGTCAGGGGCCAGGTTCCCGGCCTTGCTCAGCACCGCACGTCACTGCATTGAAGCACATCTTTAGTAAAACCAGCTCTTCCCTTAAAGAGAATGCCACGGGGCATGAGTATGATGCTTTTGACAAAAAACAAAGGCATCACTGTTAACTCCGATCTATCCCATGTGAGGTGGGAGAAGGGAGAGAGCAGAGACAAGGAGACAATTACACAAGCAGCAGCCCAACGTGTGCTTTGCAATATGCTGACCTGGCTTGCCCCACACCCAAGGGCAGACCCACAGATAGCCCTGCCTCTGCATCCACCACCAGAGCACCCAGTACCCAGCACCAGGCCACCCAGCACCCAGCACCAGGCCACCCAGCATCCAGCACCAGACCACCCAGCACCCAGCATCAGGCCACCCAGCACCAGGCCACCCAGCATCCAGCACCAGGCCACCCCAGCATCCAGTGCCTGGGCACCCAACGTCCAGCACCAGGGCACCCCAGCATTCAGCACCACAGCACCCCTGCATCCAGCACCAGGGCACCCCAGCCTCACCCACCCCAGGCCTCTGAAGGAGCAGGAGGCTGGGCCCCATGTCCCGCAATAGCACAGCCAGCTGGGCGAGACCACAGGCAGCACTGGAAGGGACTGTGCGGCTCTTTCGGATTAGGAAAGGGCCATGCTCCGCACAGCAGAAAACAGGGACGAGGTCGAAGAGGCAGCACAGAAAGCCCAGAGTCACTCCCCACCCACCATCGGAAACCAGTGAGCTCATTAGAAACCGCTTATCTATGAGGCCAAATGCCCTCAGCAGGAGAGAAGGAGGAGGGGGAAGGAGGAGGGGGAAGGAGGGGGAAGGAGGGGGAAGCGGGTGGGGAAGAGGAGAGGAGGAAGAGATCAAAGGGCGTGGTGGAGCTACACTTTCGACAGGCCTCCAGCACTGGGGACTATCTGGGAACGTCCAGGAAGGCCTGCGAGCTGAGACTGGGTGACTCATCTCTGGTGACAGAGGTAACCACCTGGCCAGAGGCACCTCTTTAAAGAGACAGATTCTTACACCCATCACAAACAGACCAGAACACTGGCCAGGCGTGGTGGCTCACACCTGTAATCCCAGCACTTTGGGAGGCTGAGGCAAGCGGATTACTTGAGCTCAGGAGTTCAAGACCAGCCCGACCAACATGGAGAAACCCCGTCTCTCTACTAAAAATACAAAATTAGCTAGGCACAGTGGCTCTCACCTGTAATCCCAGCACTTTGGGAGGCCAAGGCAGGTGGATTGCCTGAGGTCAGAAGTTTGAGACCAGCCTGGCCAACATGGCAAAACCCCATCTCTACTAAAAATACAAAAATTAGCCAGGTGTGGCAGTGGGCACCTGTAACCTCAGCTACTTGGGTGCCTGAGGCAGGAGAATCGCTTGAACCCAAGAGGCAGAGGCTGCAGTGAGCCGAGATTATACCACTGTACTCCAGCCTGGGCAACAGAGCGAAACTCCATCTCCAAAACAAAAAACAAAACAAAACAAAAAAACGGAATACTGACCAGAAGAAAATACCCAGGCTTGCTATTCCTTATTGAGGACACTCTGGGGAAAAACTCAAGGACTGGCCAGGCTGAGTGACAAGGAACAGAAATGGCTCCCGGGGCCCAGGGCCCCGGCCATGTCATCTGCAGGGATTTTCCCCATCTTATTTATGCAAGGGGCTCCTACTTGTAAACTGGAGAGAAAATGTTGTCCAAGAGGCTCAGAACCGGTGTCGGAGGCTCAGCGAGGACAGGCCCTCTCCCTGGGGTCCCAGAGTGGGCAGGAGGCCACAGCACCATGGACTCTGGGCTCCTCTGGCTGATCACGGAGGTCCAGGCCATGAGGCCCTTGAGGCTCAAGGAGAAGGGTGTCTGAGGCAGGTCAGTCTCACGGTAGCCACAGAGCATGCGCAGTGGAGTGACCCGGGCAGGAGGCTCCCCAGGCCAGCACCCCAGCCAGGAAGGGAAGGAGCAACTCTGTGTGTATCACAGCTTCACAGTCTCCAGCAATTCAGCATTTGCCCGCTTAAGTTTCTAGGTGCTGATAATTCACAAATAAAGGAGAAGAAAGCTTGCTCTCTCCTGCCTTCCAGGCCTGCGTGGAGGTGTGGGCCTGGTGTTGGGGCTGACCAGGAATCCTGCATCTCATGGGTGGCCCCACAGGACAAGTGAGCGGCTATGACACTGGACACTGCTTGGTGGCCAGCAGTTGCCCCAGGCCCCTGAGGATGGAGACAACAGGCAGAGCTGGGCAGCTACCTCCTTAAGCCCCACCCAGGGGCACCACCCCCCAAGACCAGGGCACCCGTGGCTGGAGGAGACCCAAGCAAGGGCCCTCTGACCCAGTTGAGTCTCACGGGATGTGACTGCTCGCTGCCCTAGATGTTTATGGAGGGGTGTTTGCTGTTGCAGTGATGGAAGGCACTGCTGGTTCTTAGAGGGGGGCTGAAATGCAGCCTTCATGGGTCTTACCAGACACCTGCCCTCCGGGCTCACATCTGACTCCAACTGTGATGCAAACGCCATGTATGTTGGTTTCATAGACACTGGATTTTCCAGGAATGAAACCTCCGATAACACACACCTGAGGGAGGAAGAGGAAGCCTGCTTTGGCCAACCCCGGCAAGGGACTGAGTCTACCCCCACCACCCTCTCACTGCAGCTTGAGCCAACAGGGACCACTTCATCTCCCAGTGCAAACGCGTGCAAGAGTTTCCAGATGGAAATACGTGTCAATCTGAAATCCTGAGTGCAATCTACGAAACCTATTTCCATACTGCACAAGAGACATCACAATGCTTTATTAATAACACAGAGCACTAATAACACATTTGCCAGACCCTGCTCTAAGCATTTTCCTGCATTACCTCCATTATGCAAAGGAGATGTGGGGCCCGGCAGGGCGGGGAATGACAGGCTGAGACTGACCACTCCCTCAGCCCTGGGCACAGGGCCCCCAGATGAGGGACTCACCCAAGGGACAAGGGTCTGCCCCTGCAGTGGCTTAGACCCTGGACCACGCCAACATGGCAAACACACGTGAGCTGCAAATGCCGGCCTGTGTGCAACTTTACATTGCTAGAGGCCACATTCAAAAGTAAAAAGAAATTGGCAAAAAAATGTTTTTAATAGGCCGTGCATGGTGGCTCACGCCTGTAATCCCAGCACTTTGGGAGGCTGAGGCAGGTGGATCACCTGAGGTCAGGAGTTCGAGACCAGCCTGACCAATATGATGAAACCCCCGTCTCTATTAAAAATACAAAAATTAGCCGGGCGTGGTGGCATGCACCTGTAATCCCAGCTACTCAGGAGGCTGAGACAGGAGAATGGCTTGAACTCAGGAGGCAGAGGTTGCAGTGGGCCAAGACTGTGCCATTGCACTCCAGCCTGGGCGACAGAGCAAAACTCCATCTAAAAAAAAAAATTAATAATACATTTTATTTAACCCAGTATATCCAAAATATTATCATTTCTACGTGTAACCAATATAGAAGAATATGAATGAGATCACTTACATTCTCTTTCATATCAAGCCTCTGAGATCGGCGTGCATTTCACACCACAAACACATCTCAGTTCCCACCAGCCATGTTTCCAGCATGCCTCTGTGGGCTGCATGGCTCATGCCGTCTGCCCCAGACAGCACAGGCTGAGGTATGACACGTTCTCTGAGGGCGACATCCTTCCCACCTCCCTTTTCTGTCTGCATGTTAAGAATTTTAGCAGTTTTCAGCTTCACCAACCCTTTGCCTTCTAAAGTATTTATAGTGGTTAATTTCTCCACTTGAGGCAGGTGCAGGGGTTCAATACTTTATGTATGTGTTTTCATATAAAGCATTTCTTAATTTAAGAAAAAATTGACCCACTCCCCAAAATACAATGTAATCACAAGGCACAAAATAAAAATTATGACACAGTTATTAAATACTTTCAGTTTTCTTTTTCTTCCACAAAACTTGGAAGGAAGAAAAAACTGATCCCTTTCTGGAAATAAATACATAATAAGTGACAAAGTAAAAACAATTAGTAATTACTATCACTTTCTTCTCAATTTTCTTTTTTTCCAAAAAAAGTTCTTACATTTGTTCTCATTCATTCTCTCTCATTTTCTCTCTCTTCCCCCTCCCTGGCATTAAGAATGACCAACTTGTAATCAAACCACCAGCCTGAAAACAAATCTTCCTTGCTACGAACAGTTAACATATTGCCACCTGTCACGTGTCCAATTCACCACCATGTCAAACACAGTCGACTGGAAATGTCCAGGGACCATCACTCAGCAATAAGCCGCCTGCCCACTTAATGCCAGTGAGCAGGAGACGTCCAGCGCCTGTCTCTAGACGTGTCCTTGTTTCCACTTTGGGGAGATATATGTGAGTGGAAATAACAAGGGTAATTGGCAAAATCATTGTGAAATGAATCTGTCCTACCATAAATGTGACTGCAAATTTTGAAGTTGATTTGCAAAAGGCCACAGACATAGCTGTGACCCATCCCACACTCAGTGGCAATACCACTGGGAAAAGGGTAGCTACTGTCTCTGAGTCATCAGAATCCCTGCCAGTAAAGCTGGACAGCCACCAGCACTCAAGATCAAAGCTGAGCTCCTGGCAGTAGAGACCTGCAGAGCACCTTTCCCATCTTCCTGCCAGTGACTTACAAAGGCAGCCCTCGCATACCTGAGGAAGTGGCACCAGAACAAGACAAGAACAGGCTGACCAGGAGCCCCACCCCGCCCCTGCAGATGCCTCTCCAGTGTGTTCCACAGGAACAGTGGCTGCCCCTGCCGCTCCCAGATCTCGGGCTCTAGGGGACAACAGTTGCTGCCCTCAGCTGTGCTGAGCCATGAAGTGATTCAGCAGCAGGGAAATCGGACGCTGGTCCAGGAACACAGCACCAGCCTGGGAGGCCACAGACAAACATCAATTTCATGGGTGCAAAAGGCCAGTGCCAACTGATGTCGAAGCTCAAGTCCACACCCTGAGTTTCCACAGTGCTCCTAAGATGCCTGGGGACGCAAGGGATGCAGGGCTGCGTCCTCCGCCCCGGAGTCATGCTGCCCTGTTCTTCAAGAATAAACAGTAACAGAGACGGGCAGAACCCACGTCTTCTCAGTTCCACCCCAGGAGCATAGGGAGAGGCCCACATGCCAGGATGCGGGGACACGGGAGCTCACGGGAAGCAAGAGTACCAGGTGCCCAGAGGTCCTAAGGCCAGCTCAGGACAAAGGCGCAGAGCTCAGGCTGTCGCTTCTAGATTGCTCTGCTTTTCAACGTGGTGCTCATTGATTGCAGTCACTCTTCCCTAAGTGCCATCATCCCCGGGCGGCCCAGCCAGGACTCAGAGTGCAGACAGCCACACACAACATGGCCGCCCTGACACGCACACAGCGCAGCAGGTCCACGTGCCACTGTGCCATTGACAAGGCATTTTCACATGTGCAGCCTCACAAACTGCTGAAGGAGAACAGACAAGGAGACAGGTGCACAGCCGAGAGCAGAGAAGGAAACTTGCCTGGGCCACACCCCCACGACCCAGCCTCCAAGCCCACGGCCACCCAGCACTTCCCACCGAGAAAGACCAGACTCCTCCTCCAGCACAGCCAGACACCCGCGGTCCCTTTTCACAGCTGAAATAAAATACTGTACAGCATCAATTGTGCTTTATACGGTATTCACAGGAGATGAAGCTTTACTCAGTCTTAGCATGTTGGATTTTTTTTTTTTTTTTTTTTTTTTTTGAGATAGAGTCTCACTCTGTTGTAGGCTGGAGTGCAGTGGCACAATCTCAGCGCACTGCAACCTCCACCTCCTGGGTTCAGGCAATTTTCATGTCTCAGCCTTCTGAGAAGCTGGGATTACAGGCACGCACTGCCACACCCAGCTAGTTTTTGTATTTTTAGTAGAGACAGGGTTTTGCTATGTTGGTCAGGCTGGTCTCGAACTCCTGACCTCGAGTGATCAGCCTGCCTCAGCCTCCCAAAGTGCTGGGATTACAGGCATGAGACACTGCAGCCAGTGGCATGTTGAATTTCAAAACTAGAAGACAAGCCAAGCGTGGTGGCTCACACCTGTAATCCTAGCACTTTAGGACCCGAGGTGGGCAGGTTGCTTGAGGCAAGGAGTTTGAGACCAGCCTGGCCAATATGGTGAAACCTCATCTCTACAAAAATTACAAAAATTAGCTAGGTGTGGTGGCGTGCAACTTCAATCCCAGCTACTCCAGAAGCTGAGGCACAAGAATCGCTTGAACCCGGGAGGTGGAGGTTGCAATGAGCCAAGATCGAGATTGCACCACTGCACTCCCGTCTGGGCAACAGAGTAAAACTCTGTGTCCAAAAAAAAAAAAAAAGACAAATGGAAATAAAAAACTATTAAACATCTACAACAGTGTCATTCTTTCAAATACTACTGGTGTGAGTAGAAACAGACGTGATCTTTGCAGAGGGTAAATCAGCAACAACGTGTCTAACGTCTTTGAAATGGCAAGACCCTTTACTCAGCAATCCACCTGTAGACTTTACCTTCAAGACATTGACTAGAGAAGAACTGTACAAGGATGCCCATCATATTTATAACTGGGAAAACGGAGCGGCATCAGTGTCCATTGACAGGGCTGGCCACAGCTGGCTGTGTCCACACAGCGGAGCCCAGTGCAGCCCTCCCTCGAGGGGGCAAATGGGAAGGTCAGCAGTGCAATGTGAACTGAAGCGGGCAGGCCGCAGAGACAGAGCCACGACGTGACTCCGTTGTGCATTAAGTGTGTGTGTGTATCTAACTCACACTCAGGATAGGAGCAGGCCACCTCGGCAAAGTGACATCCAGGTCGAAGTCACCAGGCAAAAGGAGAAAGTGTGTTCCAGGCAGGCTAAAGTCCAAGGCAGAGTGTGGCCAGTGGGGCAGCTTGAAGACCGGGTGTGGGGGTGCAGAGCGTGAGGTCGGGGGACACTGACATCAGCAGGCGTCATCACGGGTGGGGGCTGAGCAAGCAGTGGCGGGGAAAGCGCAGGGCCACTGAAAGGCTGCCTCTTGTTCTGTGGGGAACAAGTGTGATGGGATCTGAGCTGGAGCGACCCCACGCAAGACCACGGGCAGTCTCAGTCGAAAGCGAGGCTGGTGGTGGGGCAGGAGGCGGGCAAGGGGAATCGTGAGGGTCAAGGAGCCATAGATGGGGAAGGGGGTGTGGGAGATGGAGGAAGGGGGTCATAGATGGGGCCCAGGTTTCTGTCCTGGACACCAGTGGAGACAGAAGATAGAGGGGACAAGATGGTGATACCAGAACAACGATGGGAATGGGCCTGCTGGGAAGATATCCTCAGCCAGATCCCAAGAATAGCACCATTTCAGCCAGGCGCAGTGGCTCATGCCTGTAATCCCAGCACTTTGGAAAGCCAAGGCGGGCGGATCACCCGAGGTCGGGAGTTCAAGGCCAGCCTGACCAACAAGGAGAAACCCCGTCTCTATTAAAAATACAAAAAAATAGCAGGGCATGGTGGTGCATGCCTGTAATCCCGGCTACTCAGGAAGCTGAGGCAGGAGAATCACTTGAACCCGGGGGGCGGAAGTTGTGGTGAGCCAACATGGCACCATTGTACTCCAGACTGGGCAACAAGAGTGAATCTCAAAAAGAAAAAAAAAAGAATAGCACCATTTCAGGTGCTTCCTAGTCTTTTCCTTCACATTTATTTTCTACTTTTGAAACCTCACATGCCCTTTAACTATTACTGGCATATGCCATGTATATGTACAGCAGTTCTTCAGCTACCGAATACAAGTCATCTGAAGAAAGCCAATTGAAATGGCAACCTAGTCTGCCTGTGCTAAAGCAGCAGAAAGCATCTCAGGTGGGATGGGTGACAGGGAAGTCGACAAAAGGTTAAGTTTATAAGGACAAAATCTGAGTCACATTTTGCAATTGTTAAAACTGGTGGGCTGGGCATGGTGGCTCACACCTGTAATCCCAGCACTTCGGGAGGCCAAGGCAAGCGGATCCCCTGAGCTCAGGAGTTCAAGACCACCCTGGGTAACATGGTCAAATCCCATCTCTGCTAAAATACAAAAAATTAGCTGGGCGTGATGGCATGCACCTGTAGTCCCAGCTACTCAGGAGACTGAGGCACAAGAATCACTTGAGCCCTGGAGGCGGAGGTTGCAGTAAGCCAAGATCGTACCACTGCACTCCAGCTTGGGCAACAGAGTGAGACTTTGTCTCAAAAAAAAACAAATAAAACAAACAAAAAACAAAACAAAACAAAACAAAAACTGGTGAAAAGCATTTGATAATGACGTGCTCAGTGGGGAGGCTTCCCAGCTTTAAACACCCTGGAAATTACACGTTGTCCTCCACCAGGTAGTTTTAGAGTGAGAAAAAATTTCCCCCCAGACAGCCTGGTCATTTTGGTATATCTAATCTGTGACATTCCTTCTACTGTTCATTACGGTTTCACTCATCAGGATTTATGTAGATCCACCTCCACCATCAGCAATTTCTTCAATCTCAGATTTCTGCTGTAGGATCACTTTCCATCTAAGTCAATTATGTCTTTAGACATCCCCTTTGTGAGCCCAGGAAATCAGCCTAAAGTAATTCTAGATCAGTCCCACTCCTGGACTCCTGGTAGGAGCAGGGCTTCTCCAGGGAGGCTTTGCTCCCTTCAAGCCTTGCAGGAATCCACAGACAAAGCCCATGTGAAATGAGCCCACAATCCAAAATCACAAAGTGTGTGACAGGCAAGGATCAGGGAGCAAGAGGTAGCAGAACAAGTGGCGGAGTCCAACCCTCAAGAAATTCAAATTTTAGTATTTGTTAATATTATTATCGGTATTACTTTGGTATTATTAGTTACAGTATAGAAAATAAGTATGTTTAGACATAAAGAGAAAATAAAAATAAGTGTAAGGAAAAGAATACCAAACAAGAGGAGAGGCAAACTTGGAAAAAAACAAAGAGAACTTTCAGGAATGAAAAATATAACTATTAAAAAAATGAAAATTAAAAGAACAGGTTAGGCTGGGCATGGTGCCTGTAATCCCAGCACTTGGGAGGCTGAGGTGAGAGGATCACTTGACCTTGGGAGTTCAAGACCAGCCCTGGCAACATAGCAAGACCCCATCTCTACCAACAAAAAAAAAGAAAAAAGAAAAAGAACAACAATAACAGGTTAAATATTAATAGCGCAGAGGCTGGGCACGGTGGCTCACACCTGTAATCCCAGCACTTTGCGAGGCCAAGCCAGGTGGATCACCTGAGGTCAGGAATTTGAGACCAGCCTGGCCAAATGGGTGAAACCCCGTCTCTACTAGAAATACAAAAATTAGCCGGGCATGGTGGTGGGCACCTGTAATCCCAGCTACTCTTCAGGCTGAGGCAGGAGAATCACTTGAACCCAAGAGGCGGAGGTTGCAGTGAGCCAAGATTGCACCACTGCACTCCAGCCTGGGCAACAGAGCAAGACTCCATCTCAAAAAAAATGTATACCTATTTAAATAGCACAGTAGATGGAGATGAAGATAGAGTTGCTAAATTGGAAGACAGCTGAAGAAATAACCTGGAATGAAGCATAAAAAGACTGAAAGGTAAAAACATGAACGAGAGTTTAAGTGGCTGGGAGGATGGTATGAGAAAGCAAAGCATAAGGCAGATGCTGTATGGTTGACCCTCCATATCTAGGGGTTCCACATTTGTGGATTCAACCAACTGTGGATCAAAGATATTTGGGTGGAAAAATTCCTAAAAGCAAAACTTGAATTTGCTGCTCTCTACTATATTAAATCCACATTAATGAAGTTATATATAGGCATTGTATTAGATACTATAAGTAATCTAAAGATGATTTAAAAATACACGGGAGGGAGGCCGAGGAGGGCAGATCATGAGGTCAGAGTTCAAAACCAGCCTGGCCAATATGGTGAAACCCCTTCTCTACTAAAAATACAAAAATTACCCCAGGCGTGGTGGTGGGCGCCTGTAATTCCAGTTACTCAGGAGGCTGAGGCTGGAGAATTGCTTGAACCTGGGAGGCGGAGGTTACAGTGAGCCAAGATCGTGCCACTGCACTCCAGCTTGGGCGACTGAGTGAGACTCCATCTCAAAAACAAAGAAAAAAATACATATATGGGAGAATGTGCACAGGTTATATACAAATACGACACCATTTTATATCAGGAACTTAAGCATCCACTAATTTTGGTATCCATGGTGGGTTCTGGAACCAATCCCTAGTGGATACCGCAGAATGACTGTATTGAACAAAATAATGGCTGAAAATTTTCCAGAATTGCTGAAAGACATGATACTTTATCTTCAGAAAGTACAATGAATCCAAAACAGGATAAACAAAAAGAAATCCATGCTAGAAAGACCACAGTCAAGTTGAAAAACACCAGAAATAAAGAGACTATAAAAGCAGCCAGACAAAAAGCTTACTACTGACACAGGAAGGACAATTGAAATGACAGCTGGCTTCCTAACCGCAACTTTATAAGCCAGAAGATACATAATAGAATTCAATCCTTAAAGAAATGCCAGAGACTCAGTGCTATACAGACTATATCCCTCTGCCCATGAGGCTTTTCAGCTGAAATCATAATAAAAACAACCTAAAATCCTCAATGCCTTTGGACATAAATGCATTCATGGGTCATGGAAGAATAATAAAATTGTAAAATGCTGAACAATGAAAATATTACATATCAAAATAAACAAGACGACAGTACAGCAGAACTAAGTAGGAAAGCTACATAGACTTAAATGCTTATGACAGGACCGGGCGTGGTGGCTCATGCCTGTAATCCCAGCACTCGGGGAAGCCGAGGTGGGCGGATTGCCTGAGGTCAGGAGTTCAAGACCAGCCTGGCCAACATGGTGAAACCCTGTCTCTACTAAAAATACAATAGTTAGCCAGGCATGGTGGCACACGCCTATAATCCCAGCTACTCAGGTGGCTGAGGCAGGAGAACCACTTGAATCCGGGAGGCGGAGGTTGCAGTGAGCCGAGATCACGCCAGCCTGCGTGACAGAGGGAGACTCTGTCTCAAAAAATAATAATAAAATACTTATGACAGAAAGTTGAAAATTAAGAAACTAAGCTTAGAGAAAATAGAAAAGAAAATGTTTCAATTCAGTAACCTAGAAAGAGAACACCAGAATAAACCCAAAGAGTGTAGAAGGAAATCCTGACAATGAGCAGAAATTAGTGATACGGAAACAAAGACACAGTGGAGAAAATGAGTAAGACTGATAGCTGGTTCTTTGTGAACACTAATAAAAAAGATGAGCCTCTGTGAGATGAATCTAGAAAAGAAAGGTAAAACCATTTTAGGAATGAAAAGGGTGATTTACTGTCAGATATAGTAGAGATTTAAAAATTAAGAAAATATTCTGACCTTTGTATCAAGAAACTGACAACTTGGGCTGGGCGCAGTGGCTCACGCCTGTAATCCCAGCATTTTAGAAGGCCAAGGTGGGAGGATCACCTGAGGTCAGGAGTTCGAGACCAGCCTGGCCAACATGGTGAAACCCCGTCTCTACTGAAAATGCAAAAATTAGCCAGGCGTGGTGGTGCGCGCCTGTAATCCCAGCTACTCGGGAGGCTGAGGCAGGAGAATCGCTTGAACCCGGGAGGCAGAGGATGCAGAAGCCCTGTGTTCTCCTTCCAGGTACTAGAGCCGGAGTCCTCAGGGCACATGGGTTTTGCTGGTGCGCGTGCTTTACCTTGATGAAGTCAGGTGCTGCATACACTTCTGCGGCTCACTCCTTCCACCCAGCGTTATCCTCCGGAGGCGCACACATGTTGCGGCCTGGAGGAGCTCCTTCCTTCCCCTTTCCATGGCGAATGTAGCACGAGGTTATTTTTCATTTTATTTGGAGACAGGCATTGAGAGAGCTCCCGGGGTCTGACTCCAACACCCATGCCACTATGAGCACCTCAGCATGTCCCCCGGGAAGCACACGGCAGGTGCACCCGCCACTCGATGCCATCTCCCTGCAGCTCCTGCCATTCCCAAAGCAGCCACGCTGGCACCAGTGCTCTGTCTGCCCCCACATCTTCTCCAGCACTTGTCCCCACAGTCTTTTAAGTTTCGCCGTCCCGGCAGGGGGAGGCCGCAGCTCTCTGTGGTTTTGTTTCTGCGTCTTCCCGGTGACCCATGACAGTGGATCTTCCATCTCTCCAGCTCCTTGCTTTTGGGTCACTTTGTTTGTATTTCTCACACCAGGCCTCCTCTGCTTCAAGGAGGCAGAGTGGGACGATTCAGAACTAAACGGCCACTGTTTGTACCCACACCGGAAGGCAGCATGGTAGAAGCATTTCCCTAAAATCAGGAACAGGACAAGGATGGCCTGTCACACTTCCATACAGCCCTGCTCAGGAGGGCCTGGCCCAGGCAGCAAAACAGGAAGGAAAAATACGAAAGATATAAGGAAGAAACAGAGTCTTCACCACTCCCACATGACGTGAATGTCTACTGAGAAAATCCCCAAAATCTACAAATAAATTTTAAGCAATGGCAAGGTGATCAGCTGTTAAATCAATACCCAAAAGTCAACTGCATTTCTACAGAACACCAGCAAAGACTTAGAAATCAATAAAAATAAAAAACACCATTTACGGCCGGCGCGGTGGCTCACGCCTGTAATTCCAACACTTTGGGAGGCCGAGGTGGGTGGATCACTTGAGGTCAGGAGTTCGAGACCAGCCTGGCCAACATGGTGAAACCCTGTCTCTACTAAAAATACAAAAATTAGCTAGGCATGGTGGCGTATGCCTGTAATCTCAGCTACTCGGGAGGCTGAAGCAGGAAAATCACTTGAACCCGGGAGGCAGAGGTTGCAGTGAACTGAGATCCTGCCACTGCACTCCAGCCTGGGTGACAGAGCAAGATTTTGTCTCAAAAGAAAAAAAAAAAAAAACACCATTTACAAAAGCAAGAACAATAATAAGGGCACCTGGGAATAAATGTAAGCACAGAGTGTCAGGTGGAATGTGAAATACCACGGTGCTTTATCAAAAGACACCTCGGAAGACCTGCACAGTCAACTCTAGAGAGATAAAGGGCTTAAGCAGAGAAAGCAAACTTTACAACTTCTACAGAAAAATACAGAATACATTTGTGACCCAAGAATTGGGAAGAACTTAAAGTAACATGCAAAAGGCACTACCTAGAAAAGAAGGATGGATAAAATTATACATTACATTAAAACTATCTTTTCACCAAAACAAAAAAAGTGAAAAGATAAAACCCAACTGGGAAAAATATATAATGCACACATTACAGCCAAAGATGAACATCCTGAATCTATAAGGAAATATATAATATGGAAACTATATATAAGGAATAGGTGAGAAAAAGACATCACCCAAAAGAAAAATGGATGAAGCACATGAACAGGAACTTCACAGGGAAGGACACACATAACCAATAAATATGCAGGATGCTCACTTTCATCCAGCAGGCAGGCGTAAATCAAGACCACAACTGCACAACACTTTGCATCTACCAGCTTTGCGAAAATCAACAGCAATGCCAAGTGCTGACGGGTATGTGGATCACGTGTGTCCAGAGACATGGACATAGAACATTCCATGTAAACAGGTCAAGATTAGAAGTGCTTCTGGTAAATGTATGGATGCATTCTGAAAACATTATTTTTTGCAGGCTTTATCTTTGCATAGATCTTACGGGAGGGTCTCCCGTAGGCCCTTAAAGACACGTGGAGTTACGTTGTTTTTCCAATTGATGCTTATTCTCTTAGTACCATCTTCTCCTTTCCTCTAAGCATCATCAGAGAACGCTGTTTCCAGCAGCCATCCCTGAGACAGAGGCAATGATTCTTTTGGTTTCATCTGCACATAAATTCTTGGGATTTTTCCCCCTCTCTTCCTGCATTTTGGAAATGCGTGTTTTGTCCTCATTTAATTAGTTCAGTTACTTTGTTTCAAGAAATAAATACTGTAGCCCAGAGACTGTAAAAACAGTAGCCCCAGTTGAATTCAGTTGGCAACATTTGTAATTTGGCGTGTGCAGTTTGTTAAAAATAAATACATTGCATATAAAACTCCAGATACCTGGTTTCTCTCGGAAGACTAAAGATGGAGTCACTCTGGTCCTATACCCACCTGGCCCTGCTCAGCTGGGGGTCAGTAGCGGGTGGTCAGGTGAGCCAGACCCTGTGAAAGAGGCCTCAGTCTCTCACTCATGTTCACCACAGCCACCCCTTCATAGGCCTCATGTCTGCATTCTCACTTACCTTCCTAGCTGGACCCTGTCAGAATCTGTGTTTACGATTTTCCTGTATAGCTTTGTTCACCAAAAAGAAACATTATATACTGAATAATTCACTAACATTTATTTATTTGTTTATTTATTGAGATGGAGTCTGGCTCTGTCACCCAGGCTGGAGTGCAGTGGCACGATCTCAGCTCACTGCAAGGTCCGCCTCCCAGGTTCAAGGCATTCTCCTTCCTCAGTGTCCCGAGTAGCTGGGACCTATGCATGCGCCACCACACCTGGTTAATTTTTGGGTTTTTTTTTTTTTTTAAGTAGAGATGGGGTTTCATCATGTTGGCCAGTCTGGTCTCGAACTCCTGACCTCAAGTGATCCACGTGCCTCAGCCTCCCAAAGTGCTGGCATTACAGGTGTGAACCACCACCCGGGGACCCAATAATTCACTAACATTTAAAGAAAAGAAGTAAAAGTTACAAAGGCTTTGGGGCTCCAGGAAAATGCAATGCTAGCCTGGAGCTGGAACTGAACTGCACGACAAACATATTTTCTAACCAATGTTCTAGAACTTAAGTCATAGTAATAAGCTCCTGATTTAGAAAACTGAAAATAACCTGTGTGCACTGAAACACGTGTGTCCTGATCGCTGTAGTGCATTTGAAAATTCCCAGAACACCAGCACTTCGCCTCCCTGCACCAGCTCACTGCCAGCCACGGCAGGGAGTCCAAGGAGGACGGCTGTGGTTCGCTTCCTAAAACTAATCCAAAATCCCGCCCGCCCGTGCCGCATAATGAGTCACAGTTGGGATTGTCTTTACTGTTCCTTTTGTTTTTGTGGATTATCAAAAGTCACTAAACTTAGCCACGTGTGGTGGCAGCACCTGTAGTCCCAGTTACTGGGGAGGCCAAGGTGGGAGGATCGCTTGAGCCCAATAGTTTGAGTCCAGCCTGGGCAACACAGTGAGGCCCCACCTCTAAAATACATGCATAAAATTTTAAGTCCCTAAACTTTGTTTCTGAGGCCGCCATGGAGCTCTGCCAGAGAAAGCCGCTTCAAGGTGACAGGTGAGGAGACAGGTGAGCCACAGCCTCCTTGCTGAGACACCTTCGGGACCCCTTCAGGGGTAATGACCAAAGCGGGTACTCACGCAGGGCCACCCTGGGGGTCCACTTGGCACTGGGCTGGCTGTGCCTAACTCAGGGCTGGGTCTGAGGCTCCTCCTCCCCAGCACTGCTCCCTCCGCCTCCTCTCACGGGGGTCAGACCTGCCTGGAGGTCTGGTGCTCCCCCACCATCCTCTGCAGGGTTTCTTCCTGCACTTCCCATCTCATCGTGGCACCTGCTTCCCAAACTGACAAGTGCATAACCCAAACTGACGCGGTCTTCCTCTAACAATCTGACTTCTGTCTATTTTGGCAAAAATCAATGCTAGTACACCATATTTTACAAAGTATAACAACTGGTTAATTTCTCAATGCAAAAATTATGTGTAGCTCCCTAATAAAATGCACATTTGTTCACTCAATCAATCACTCCAATTAGACTAGGACAATGGCCTAAATCAGAAATCAATCTATGAAAAGCTTAACCCAATCATCAGCACATTCTTCACATGAGGAGTCAATAAACAGCTCTTCATTTTACTCCCACCAAGTGTACCGTAAAAAGCTGAGCATAGATGAATTTACGTCAATTGAATTAATTTTCTTCTTGATTCCATATCCAGCATGTATCTGTTTCTATCAATTCAGATGGAGATTTCAGAGCCCCCAGTCCAGCAAGTACGGCCTTCTACAAGTGAAAAGTGTTTAAATGAATACGTGTATGTGAAGCCAATGACTTAGTCTCCGTTTCAGAAATGTAGATTTTCATCTATTGGATCTTATGAGCATCAAGGTGGTTTGGTGGAAAGAATAACAGCTTTGGATTCTATTGGACCTTTGTTTAAATCTAGATTTGCCCAAGCTGAGACGCTGGCCACACTTCCCCACTCAGTTTCCCATGTCAGTGTCTCTGTCAGTTTCTGTGTGATGGGGCAATACCACTCTCCTTACAGGGATGTAGAGGAGCTTATAAAATAATAAGGTAAGCATGTCATAAAGCAGGTGACAGATTTAGTGTCAGGTCAGCTAATAGGACATGAGGAAGAGAACAAGAGCCAGCGTGGCTGCAGCGCCGGTACTCAGCTCCCAGCACCTGGCTGAGAATCAGGAGGGCAGACAGTCAGGGGTGAGTAATCGATCTCAGGACAGGTATTTCCTTGTACAGCTTGTTACTGCTGCTCATTTTATAATTCATCATTATTGTTATTTATTATGCATTTCATTCTCTACCCGCTTTCAGAAAGGAATCGAGACCATCTCCAACAATGATGCATAGCCTTCCCAGTCACTGGGGACAGGCCTCTGGGCTGCAGGCACACTGTCCCACCAAGAGCACCCAGCTCCACTTTGAGTCTTAAGTGACACAGGGCACGCTAGCCAGGAGGTAGATTTCTGCCAGTCACACACTGAAGGATAGTTGTGTTGCTTTCAATTCACCACCAGTAACATTTAAAACATATCCTATCTGCAATCCTTCTACCTAGGCTTGGGAAAAGACGTGGCCAATTTAACCCCAGCATCCATGCACCCTAATAGCCAGGTACAGACTTTGGCCCTGCAGAAAGAATGGCCAACTTTCACCATCAACTCGGCCTTCCCGCCTCCAAAACTAAACACAGACACTGCCCCAAGGTTATGAGACTGCCTGTCTCCTGCACTTTGCTTGACAAAGATAATCAAAACATGGCCGCTTGTAAATGACTACATGAAAGCCTGTCAGAAGGTGAACGATTAATGCACTTGCCTAAAATGCAGCGCTTTGAAATTGGTAATTTAGAATCAATCTTGAAATTATGATGAAGTGGTTTTAGGAAGGACAGACGCCTCGTGGTCATGTTACTTTACCACTTGAAACGACCCGTTTAAAACCCCAAACACTCTTCGGTTAACCAAAAGTAAATTCCCATGAAATTTCTGAGCAACTGTCTTTAGAAAACTCAGTCCAACTTTACTGTAACAAAAATCTTGCAATGAGATGGAGCAGCTAAAGATCTCACATTAAACAAGTCATTAAAAAGGAAACAGTCAAATGTAGCCAATCACGTCCCACGCTGCGATCTAGAAACACCAGTCCACCGGCGATACCTTATAACAGGGACATCACAAGAGTTTTTGACAAGGCCAGAGAGGGGGGGCAAAGCGTGGAAGCAGAAGCCATTGAATTTACCAGAGGTGGGTTTTGATGGTGACAACGGGCCTGCACTGGCTCTTCAGTGCCAAGCACTAGGGGCTCTGCCGTGGGGTCTGCAATGTGAGAGCCTAAGCGGGGCTGAAGATTGATGAACAGGGTAAATGTGATTGGGCAAGTTAAGGACACCCCTCCTCCAAAGGAATCCAGGAAATCAGGCTCTTCTCAAACACACATTCTGATCTTCCCCTTCCCTGTTTAGGAGAATTCCAACATTTCCCACCTACCTCTGATTTGACCAGGGATAGCATCCGTGGACTTTCAGCACCCGGACGGGTCTGTGGAGGTGGGAGTTCCAGGGATGTAAGCCTAAAGGCGGCCCTGCCGTTCCGTGACACAACCTCGGGCAAGTAACTCAAGCCCTGTTGTGTCAGATCACTTGTTTACGAGGTCAAAGTGCGGAGGGGATGGGAGGCAGGTGTATCAGTCACGTGTCTACGGCAGGGACGGAACAGATTACTTTGGTGAATGCTCTTTTTCTAATTTCCAAAATAAAGCCATTACTTTCAGTTTGCTTCCCCAGTCCTGGCACACAGACGCGCGTCCAGGCGCAGGGTGTAGCTCCCCAGCGTGGAGTCTGCACTGGGGCCCCAGCCTGGGGCGGGGCAGCACCCTCCCTCCAGGAAGGCCTGTTCTAGAATCCACACTCCTGGGGACTTTCCCACCCGGCCACACTGCCTTTAACCCAGCAGTCTTCAGGCTGCTGCAGCGCGTCCCCCTGGCAGATACGCCAGGACAGGGCCACGCACAGGTAGGGTGACCACAGAGGGCGGCCACTCCATGAAGTCACCTTCAGAATATTTAAGGCCCCTACACCTTCTAAGGCCAAGGGGCCCTGTTCTGTCTGAATGTCAATGGCATGCAGCTGCTTTTTAGACAATGTCCTCAAGAAGATACTTAAGACTAACCAGAAATGGATACAAGAAGCGAGTTGTAACAGGCACAGGCTAACGCCGAACTCTGTGGGGGAGGAGGATTGGTTGGAAAGAGGGAGGGGGGGCGGCAAAGAAGTGGCCAAATCAAGAGAGTGCTCAGCATCCTCGGGAGACCCCTCTGAAGCTTTCAAACTGAGAAGACGAAGTTCAGCAATTCCTAAGCGAGTCGAGTCGGAGCAGCCGCGCCTGCAATTTAAAAGCTGCAGGATCCTGGGTCCCTCTAGCAGCCTGGGCCCGCCGCCCGCCCCACCTCCCAGCCCCCAGCAGGCTCTCGGCGTTGGCTTTCATTTTTAATAAGAGCCGCATGCTCATCACCCTCTGTCTGGAGGCCAACAGCCCACATCTTTCTTCTACTAAGATCATGTTTCCCAGGAAAAAGAACCCAACTGCTCAAGTATTCTCCTAGACAAAGCTTTTAAAATTGTGCTTTTTTTTTTTTAAAGGTCTGGGAAGCCATTTATAAAAGCATTTTCCCCATGTCACTAAACTTCTCTCAAAGTTAAAAAAAAAAAAAAAAACACTGCACCATTTTTAACTGCCTTCAAATACTAATAACCCTCCTTTCCTAAGTACTTGGGACCAATGTTCCAAGGGTCCTGGGGTGGCCAGGAGTGGGTTTTCGCCCCCACGGCTCTTGCCCCCGGACTGACCCCATCCCCTGACCCGCCCGGTGCAAACGCGCCGCCGGTCTCCGGGCCGAACCCACAGCCAACCCCGGGCCCCGCAGCCCTCCCCGCGCGGAGCGGCAAAAGTGAAACTGCTCCCTTGGCCTGGGCGCGCGAGGAGGAGGCCCCTGGGGGGGGTCCCGGGTCCGCCGCGCCCCGAAACCAGGCGGCGGGCGCGTCCTGTCCACGGGGGAGCCGAGCGGGGCCCGGAGCAGAGTCCAGGACGGAGGGATGGGACGTCCCCGCGGGAACCCACTCGCCCTCCCTCGGCCCGGCCCGGGCCCCTCCCGGGCGCCCCGAACCCCCGGGCCTCCCCGCTGGGCCCAGCGCCACCGAGGCTGCTGCGGGAAGCGGCCGGGGCCTCGCGCTGGACCAGGCCGCCGGGGAGGCCGGGGTTGCGGGGGGCGCACAGGACCCGGGCCCAGACCTCCTCCCGGCCCCGCGCCTTCCCAGGCCCCGCGCCCCGCGGAGCGCGGCCGGCCCATTGCGGCGCGGGGCCCCGGGCGGCCCGAGGTCGGACGGCTGGGGCAGGGGCGACCTCCGGCGGCGGGAGGGCGACCTCGGGCGGCGGCGGGGCGTGGGGGAAGAGGGGGGCGGCCCGACCTCGGGTGGGGGCCTCGGTGCTCACCTGCAGCCGCCGCCACCTGCTCGTCGCGCGGGCGTCCCCGGCGTCGCCTCCGCGGCCCCGCTCTGGCCGCCGCGCTCCTCGGCCCTGGGCCCGGCCCGGCCCTGCGTCGGGGCCTCAGCGAGTGCGGCGCCCGCCGCCCCCGGCCCCCATCCCGCCGCCCTCCGCCCTCCGCCCTCGGCCGCGCCGCCGCCGCCACTTCCTGTGCGCGGCGATCCCACAGTTCCGCCGGCGCGCGCGGGGCGGCCGAGGGACACGCTGGGGGGACACGGGGGAAGGACGCGGGGGGGGACGCGGGGGGACGGCGCGGGGGGGGACGCGGAGGGGACACGGGGGCGACACGGCGGGACACGCGCGCGGAGAGAGGTGTGGGCCGAGGGCGCCGGCGGGGCCGGGCGCGGAGCCTGCGTGGGATCCGCTAACGGACGGGGCTGGGGCCCGGGCTGGGGGAGGGGGCGGGCCGGGACCGCGGGGGGCGCGGGGATCAGGGGGGTCGGGGCTGAACGGGGGGAGGCGGCGAAGGACCAGGCTGGGGTCCCGCGAGGGCTCCCCCGGACCGGGTCGGGGGCAGAGGGGGCCGGGGCGCGGGGTGGGGCCGGGAGGGGCCTCCGAGCTCTGCCTGGGCCCCGCCATCTCCCCTGCCGGGGTCTCCTGCGGGCGCCGGGGAAGTTTCGCGCGCGAGCTCCTGCCCTGGTCGGCCGGGGCTTAGGGTCGCCGTCAGGGGTCGCCGCGCGGCGGGCTCGGTGGGGACGGCCCTGCGCGCAGCGGCTCCGCGGAAGGATCGCGTTTCGGCCCACGTGCCGCGCCCTTGGACTTATTCATAGTTGGCACCCGGCTGGCAACACTGTATCGACACTTGACCGTGGCGGGGGTGGGGGTCGCCCCGGGGCTGCCCTGCGAACCCCCGCGGGCGCTGACGCCGTCCCCTCCAGACCGCGGAGCCCTCTCAGCCCCAGGACAGCGGCTGCCGTCCCCCCTCCCTTGCACCTGGCCAGCGGCCGATCCCAGAACCTGCGGAGGCCGCGCAGGTGCCGCTGTCAGGGCAGGGCCCGCTGCGGGCTCCGCCTCCTGCGCCCGGTACCTTGTGTGACCTGGCGCCTGCTCAGGTCCTCAGGCCCCGGCTGGACTTGCTGAGCTTGGGTGGGCTTCATTTGAAAACCATTTAAAATACCAAGTACTGGTACTGTCTACTGTGCCCCTTTTTTTCCTTTTTTTTTTTTTTATTTTTATTATTATTGAGACAGGGTCTTGCTCTGTCGCCCACCCTGGAGTGCAGTGGTACAATCATAGCTCGCTGAAGCCTTGAACTCCAGGGCTCAAGTGATCCTCCCACCTCAGCCTCCCAAGTAGCTGGGACCACAGGCACACACCACCATGTCTGGCTAATTTAAAAAAAATTTTTTTTGTAGAAATGGGGCCTCACGGTGTTGCCCAGGCTGATCTCGAACTCCTGAGCTCAAGTATTCTCCCACCTCCTCCTCTCAAAGTGCTGGGATTACAAGTATGAGCCCCCGCACCCAGCTTGCACCTCCCTTTAAGCCTCCTCAAATTATTTCAGAAAATACTTAGACTAAAATAAAATGAAAGTACCGTGCACCTGTCCTACTCACAGTTCCCTTATTCTTGAAAAAGGAGTTAAGATTTGCAAAGCTCGTGGAATTCACCATTTGTAAAACCTCTCACCCCTCATGTCATTTTGGGTAATCTGTGCCACAGATAAATTCTCACAGGCACCACGGGATGTGTGGATACAGGGATGTGCTGACTTACAGCTATACCTATAATCACAGGAAGCCTGAGAACAACCAGACACTTGGTTAAATAAACTCTAGAACATTCATTTAGCATTTTTAATTTAAAACATTTTCTAAAGTTGTGATGTGATAATTCTGTGTACACAGATAGGATATAGTCTCCAAGATCTGTTAAATTAAAAAATAAAAATAGTGCAGAGCAGTGAATATACAATGATGTGCTTTATTTAAAACAAACAAACAAACAAAAAATGGCCAGGCACGGTGGCTCACACCTGTCTGTAATCCCAGCACTTTGGGAGGCTGAGGCTGGTGGATCACGAGGTCAGGAGTTCAAGACTAGACTGGCCAAGATGGTGAAACCCCGTATCTACTAAAAATACAAAAAAAAAATTAGCCTGGCGTGGTGCAGGCGCCTGTAATCCCAGCTACTCGGGAGGCTAAGGCAGAGAACTGCTTGAACCTGGGAGGCAGAGGTTGCAGTGAGTCAAGATTGTGCCACTGCACTCCAGCCTAGGTGACACAGTGAGACTCTATCTCAAAAAAAAAAAAAAAAAAAAAGACCAGATGCAGTGGCTCACACCTGTAATCCCAGCACTTTGGGAGGCCAAGGCGGGTGGATCACTTGAGGTCGGGGGTTCCAGACCAGCCATGGTGAAACTCCACCTCTGCTAAAACAAGATACAAAAATTAGCTGGGCGTGCTGGTGCTCTCTTGTAATCCTAGTTACTCAGAAGGCTGAGACAGAAGAATTGCTTGAACCCGGGAGGCAGAGGTTGCAGTGAGCTGAGATCTAGCCATTGCACTCTGGCCTGGGCGACAGAGCGAGACTCTGTCTCAAAACAAACAAACAAATAAAAAAAAAAAAAAAACAGAAAACAACATAGGCAGATACAAGTCCAGAAGGCTCTGTGAAGATATGATAGTGAATGGGCAAGGGTAAAGAAATTTTATTACAATAAAATTTCTATGTATGTTAGGTAGTAATGTTTAGATTTATCATAAGCACACATTTTATAATTTATATATTTTATAATTTATTATTACTATTAGAAAAAGGGTGTCCCCCCGTCACCCAGGCTAGGAGTGCAGTGGTATGATCATAGCTCACTGCAGGATCCCTGAAGGGATCCTCCCACCTCAGCCTCTCAAATAGCTAGGGCTATAAGCATGCACCACCACGCCCAGCTATTTATTTATTTATTATTTATTTAGTAAAGATGGGGTCTCATTCTGTTACCCAGGCCACTCTCAGACTCCTGGCTTCAACGATCCTCTCACCTTGGCCTCCCAAAATGCCAGGATTAGAGGCATGAGCCACCCAGCTCTGCATACTTATTAAAAATGAATTATGATGTACCTCTTCATTTAAACATTGGATGGCTCCTTCAGCCTCACTTTGAGCTTTTAGATGAGCCCCAAATATTATGTTTGTCTCACTGGTGTAAAACTTCACTGACAGACCAGCCTGGGCAACAAAATTAAAATTAGCTGGGTGTGGTCCAGCACACCTGTAGTCTCAGCTACTCAGGAGGCTTAGGTGGGAGTCGAGGCTGCAGTGAGCCATGAACGTGCCCCCTGCACTCCAGCCTGGATGACAGAGACAGACCCTTTCTTCATTAGAATCTGTGATCACTGAGACCTGAGTCGAGCCCCTGGAGAGCCGCAGGTGCGCAGACACTCAGAGAAGCATTTGAAGGGAACTGGAAGTCAGCCACCCACCCTCAACTGTTTACAGGGTTCCAGTGTGCAGGTGCTCAGATTGGCAGGAAACGTCATCGCTAACCTTTGTTGAGCCCTTGTTATGTGTGTAGATTAGTTCATTAACCAAAACCAGGCCACAAGGTAGAGACGACTGACACCCCATTTTACCTTTAAGGAAACTGAGGCATAACAAACCTCCCTACCTTATCCGCCAGCACACAGGGCAGCAGAGGCAGGCAGCCCGGCTCTAGGCCCTGATGCAGCCACAGCGCAGCAGCTTCTCCTGACCCGGTAATGGGGTTGGTTATTAAGAAAGAGACTCGTGGTGAGCCAAGATCATGCCATTGCACTCCTGCCTGGGCAACAGAGTGAGACTGGATTGGATCTCAAAAAAAAAAAAAAGAGAGAGACTCAGATCCTCAGCCTCCTCAATGAAAAACTGGGGGCAAAGGGAGATTCTGACCTTGAGTAGTATTTGTCCAGAGAGGGGATTTTTGCTAGGAATGAAAAGAAGAAAAGTAGTTTTTTTGTTTATTTGTTTGTTTGAGACAGAGACTTGCTCTGTCGCCCAGGCTGGAGTGCAGTGGCACGATCTTGGCTCACTGCAGCCTCCGCCTCCTGGGTTCCAGCAATTCTTCTGCCTCATTCAGCCACCAGAGTAGCTGGGATGACAGGCACCTGCCACCACGCCCGGCTAATCTTTGTATTTTTAGTAGTGGTGGGGTTTCACCATGTTGGCCAGGCTGGTCTCGAACTCCTGACGTCAAGTGATCCACCCACCTCGGCCTCCCAGAGTGCTGAGATTCCGGGTGTGAGCCACGTGCCCAGCCTTTTTGGTATTTGTTGTCCACGGTGCATATGAGCCAGGCCCTGGGAAAGGGGCTCCCTCTTCATTATTTGCTCTAATTCTCAGCCTGAACTTGCCGACATCTGGGCTCACAGATAAGCAAACTGAGCCAGAGAGATGACCCCAGGGCCAAATGGCAGATTGCTGCCCACCTCCACACCCAGAAGGAGGCTTTCCAGTTCTGAGGGGGCCTCATTGGACAACTTGCCCATCCAGCCCTGCCCAAGGCCCAGGGGGCCCAGTCTGGCTCAAGGCAGGTCAGGGGAGAGGACAGGCAGCGGCTGGCAGTAGGGAGGGCCCTGGAGCAGGTAGGGCTGGACGCTGAGTCGCGCGACTGCCAGGGGAGCTGAGAGCCAAGGCTCAGCGCCAGCCTGTGACCTTAAACAACGACGTTACCCATTTGGTCTTAGTTTCTTTTTTTGTAAAATGAGGAGGTTCCCACCCAGATTTCCCTGATCTCCAAGAGGATGCCGGGAGAGCCAGGGGCCCTCGGGGTAACTCCGGCATTCTTAAAAGCCCAAAGACAACTCTATATTTATCTCAGATGTAAAAGTTTACCAAAACGAAAGATAATAACTTTGCTGTAAATACACGAACTCCGGCATGTGGATACTAATCTCTACTGGATGGACGTTAACTATTTTTGGCTAATAGGTAATAGGAAAACAATGCAAACAAAAGCTTTTTTTCCTAGGAGACACATTATTTTTTAAACATAGACTTCCACAGAGGCAAAAATTATAAACAAGATCTTTCACAGCAAAGAGATTAGAAACCCTGGGTGCACTAAGACCTCACCCCTGGAAATGATTCTTGAGAAACTGAGTTCAGTCTGGAGGCGCTGAGTCCGGTGAGATTGTTGCCATCTGTCAGAGGCTTTTGAACCAGAGCGACTCCGTCTTGAACAGGGGCTGAGTAAAAGGCTGAGACCTACTGGGCTGCGTTCCCAGACAGGTAAGGCATTCTAAGTCACAGGATGAGCTAGGAGGTTGGCACAAGATACAGGTCATAAAGACCTTACTGATAAAACAGCTTGCAGTGAAGAAACTGGATAAAACCCACCAAAAGCAAGATGGCCACAAGAGTGACCTCTGACCGTCCTCACTGCTACACTCCCACCAGCACCATGACAAGTTTACAAATGCCATGGCAACGTCAGGAAGTTACCCTATATGGTCTAAAAAAGGGAGGCATGAATAATCCACCCCTTGTTTAGCATATCATCAAGAATAACCATAAAAATGGGCGACCAGCAGTCCTGGGGCTGCTCTGTCTATGGAGTAAGCCATTCTTAATTCCGTTATTTTCCTAATAAACTGCTCTCACTTTACGGACTCACCCTGAATTATATTTCTTGTGCAAGATCCAAGAACCCCCTCTTGGTGTCTAGATCCGGACCCGTTTCCTGTAACACATCCATCCCCCATCCCAGGGGTCAGCAGAGAGTAGAGAGCGACTCCCAGAGGAGCCTGGCCTCATCAGCCTGGAGGTCAAAGTCAAGGTCACAAGAGCAGGCCAACGCCAGCAGGTGGGGAAGTGTCTGCACAGAGTAGCAGCCCTGGGTGAGTCCAGACCCCATCTCCTCCTGCAAAGTGGGGCGACAGTAACCGCACTGTGAAGTGACCACATGGTAAAGACCGCAGGCCTGCAAAGCCCAGCGCAGGGCCTGGGCAGGTGAGAGCTGGGAGCTGTGGTCCACGCTTCGCACCCTCTCAGCGAGTGTCAGAGTCTGAGGGGCTCCAAGGTCCTGGCTGAGGGAGGAGCAGAGACAGAGAGAGACCAAGTGGAGGCTGCTGGGGTGCAGGCCGAGGCTGCCCTCTTCAGGCACCCCAGCCAGTCCGAGCAGGCGGGGTGTGTGGCCCCATGCTCCTGGCCACCAGCCTTTGCTCGGGGCCTGGGTCTGAGGCTCACCTGCCAGTCCCACTCCCCTCTGGAGTCTTTCGCAGAGGTTACGACACCCCGCATGCCCCGTGCACCTAAACCCCACTGAGTGTCCACCGCCTGGAGGCCTGTGTGACCCAGGGACCTGCAAAGGACCCAAACCCCACTGAATGTCCACCGCCTGGAGGCCTGTGTGACTCAGGGGCCCGCAAAGAAGACCTCAGCCTCCCGCTTGCTTAGAAATGCGGCTTGGACCAGAGCACCTCCCGGGGCCCACACCCTACTCTGCAGGCAAGGGCAGGCACCTGTGCCCCTGTTTCCGAACTGAAGACACATCCACGGGTCCCTTAAATTCACTAAAGCCTCCTCATGAAGGCAGGAGCCACTGTCCCAAGCAGGCTCCTGCCACAGGGAAGGGGACAGACCCACTTCAACTCCTTAGCCATGCACTTCCCCCTCAGAAAACACAGGGAAACGCCATCTCTCAAAGGAAGGCCTCTTCCTCCCAGACGCCTGCACACCAGGACACACGCCATGTGCACACGAGCAAGCAAAAACTTTAGTTTTTCTCTTTTACACAAATATTTTTTCAAATTGTACTCTGGGGCAAAAAACAAACAAACAAAACATACCTACGTTTTCTAAAAATTAACAGCCAGGCCATGGTGGCTCACTCCTGCAATCCCAGCACTTTGGGAGGCCGAGGTGGGCGGATCACCTGAGGTCAGGAGTTCAAGACCAGCCTGGCCAAAATGGTGAAACCCCGTCTCAACTGGAAGTACACAATTAGCCAGACGTGGTGGCGGGCACCTGTAATCCCAGCTACTCGGGAGGCTGAGGCAGGAGAATTGCTTGAACCCAGGAGGCTGAGGTTTCGGTGAGCCGAGTGCACCACTGCACTCCAGCCTGGGCGACAGAGCTAGACTCTGTCTCGAAAAAACAAAAAAATTCACCTGTTCAAATTTGGAGTTTGTTTTGAGACAGGGTCTTGTTCTGTCACTCAGGCTAGAGTGCAGTGGTGTGATCACGGCTCACTGCAGCCTCGACCTCCTGGGCTCAAGTGATCTTCCCACCTCAGCCTCCCCAGTAGCTAAGACTACAGTTGCGAGCCACCGTACTCGGCTAAGTTTTCTTTTTTTCGGTAGAGACAGGGTCTCACTATGTTGGTAGGCTGCTCTTGAACTCCTGGGCTCAAGTGATCCTCCCACTTTAGCTTCCCAACAGATTTGTTTGGTTTTTTTTTTTGCTTGTTTGTTTGTTTTGAGACAGAGTTTTGCTCTTGTCGCCCAGGCTGGAGTGCAATGGTACGAGTCAGCTCACTACACCACAACCTCTGCCTCCCAGATTCAAGTGATTCTCCTGCCTCAGCCTCCTGAGTAGCTAGGATTACAGGAGTGTGTCATCACCCCCAGCTAATATTGTGTTTTTAGTAGAGACGGGGTTTCACCACGTTGGCCATACTGATCTTGAACTCCTGACCTCAGGTGATCTGCCCACCTCAGCCTCCCAAAGTGCTGGGATTACAGGCATGAGTCACTACACCCGACAGATTTGTTTGTTTATTTTTGAGATAGAGTTTTGCTCGTCAGCCACATTGGAGTGCAGTGGCATGATCTCGGCTCACTGCAATCTCCGCCTCCCGGGTTCAAGCGATTCTCCTGCCTCGGCCTCCCAAGTAGCTGGGATTACAGGTGCGTGCCATCACACCCAGCTAATTTTTGTTTTTTTAGTAGAGACAGGGTTTCACCATGTTGGCCAGGCTGGTCTCGAACTCCTGACCTCAGGTGATCCACCCACCTTGGCCTCCCAAAGTGCAGGGATTACAGGCGTGAGCCACCACGCCCAACAGGTTTTTTGTTGTTGTTGTTGTTGTTGTTTATTTGTTTCTTTTTTTCTTTCCTTTTGAGACAGAATTTTGCTCTTGTCACCCATGCTGGAGTGCAGTAGCACAATCTCAGCTCACTGCAACCTCCGCCTCCTGGGTTCAAGCGATTCTCATGCCTCAGCCTCCCAAGTAGCTGGGATTACATGCACCTGCCATCACGCCCGGCTAATTTTTGTATTTTTAGGAGAGATGGGGTTTCACCATGTTAGCCAGGATGGTCTCGATCTCCTGACCTCAGGTGATCCACCTGCCTCAGCCTCCCACAGTGCTGAGATTACAGGTGTGAGCCACCACACCCGGCAATTTGGTATTTTAAATGCGTGCAGGAGAACCCAACGGCTCACAGATCCAATATATCACCTAATTCCCGAAAAATAGGGAAAGGAGCGGCTCAAGTACTGATGCCGGCGGGGCCAAGGAAGTCTTCCAGAAAAAAGCCCAGTGAGTTAGCACGAAAGGGAGTTTTCTCAGGCTATTCAGTGTCTTAGGCAGGGCGATTTAGGCATAGACATAGATCATGATTATAAAATATTTCACTGAGCCGGCCAGGTGCGGTGGCTCACGCCTGTAATCCCAGCACTTTGGGAGGCCGAGGCGGGCGGATCATGAGGTCAGGAGATCGAGACCATCCTGGCTAACATGGTGAAACCCCGTCTCTACTAAAAATACAAAAAAACCCAGCTGGGCGTGGTAGCGGGCGCCTGTAGTCCCAGCTACTCGGGAGGCTGAGGCAGAATGGCATGAACCCGGGAGGTGGAGCTTGCAGTGAACTGAGATTGTGCCACTGCACTCCAGCCTGGGCAACAGTGAGACTCCGTCTCAAAAAAAAAAAAAAAAAAAAAAAAAAAAAAAATATATATATATATATATATATATATATATATTTCACTGAGCCATTACTACAGGGAAAGTTCCTGTAGAGCTGAGCAGTCAAGACGTGTGACTTCACCAAGGACCAGCACAGAGTTCAAGGCTGCCTTCCGGCTGTTTGACTGAACAGGTGATGGCAAGGTCCTTCCAGCCCCTGTGGGGGCGTGATGAGGGCCCTGGGCCAGAACCCCACCAATGCCACGGCGCTCGAGGTCCTGGGGAACCCCAAGAGTGATGAGATGAACGTGAAGGTGCTGGACTTTGAGCACTTCCTGCCCCTGCTGCAGACAGTGGCAGGGAACAGGGACCAGGGCACCTAAGAGGATTATGTGGAAAGACTTCAGGTGTTTGACAAGGAAGAGAATGGCACCGTCATGAGCGCGGAAATCCAGCATGTTCTTGTCTCACTGGGTGAGGAGATGACAGAGAGAGGAGGAGAGATGCTGGTGGCAGGGCATGAGGACAGCAGTGGTTGCATTGACTCCGAAGTGCTTGTCCGCAGGCTGCTGAATGGCTGAGGGTCTTGCCAGCCTCCCCAGAGCCCAGGCCTTTCCCTGGGTGACATTTCGTATCTAGCCTGAGGCTCCCTAGGGCCTCTGGTTGCAGCACCTTTCCCATCTTGTCTCTCTTGGATGATGTTTGCCATCAGCATTCACCATATAAACTTGCTCTCTGTGTACCCCTCCCACCCAAAAAAATTTCAAGGCTGGGCACAGTGGCTCACGCCTGTAATCTCAGTAATCCCAGCTGAGGCGGGTAGATCATTTGAGGTCAGGAGTTCAAGACCAGCCTGGCCAACATGGTGAAACCCCATCTCTACAAAAATACAAAAATTAGCCGGGCGTGGTGGTGGGTGCTTGAAATCCCAGCTACTCAGGAGGCTGAAGTGGGAGAATCACTTGAAACCAGGAGGTAGAGGTTGCAATGAGATGAGATTGCACCACTGCACTGCAGCCTGGGTGACAGCGCGAGACTCTGTCAAAAAAAAAAAAAAAAATTTTGAAACTCAAGCAACAGAAGAGTTCGTTCTGGGAGACAAGTGAGCGTTAGATAAGGGCACTCAGACCACACCCCTCCTGCCTGGGAAGGCACCACACAGGCCGCTAAACACAAGCCTAGTGTCACTTCTTGGAAACACTAGAGGAGGTACTTCAGGGCCTCTCCCTCAGTTTCAGTTCTCATCTGGTTAATTTCCTAACGTCCCTGGTCCTGTCATTACACTAAAAAATAAGCCCATCCTTTAGTGTCGGGACAGGCCACAGACTGAACTTGGTCTCATAAAATCAGTGTGTTTTTGTTCCTCTGTTTTGCCGGAGCTGGAAGGGCTCAGTCCCTGGTGCCCCCTGAGCGCGGTGCAGTGAGGGGCGGGAGGCACGTGTTCTCTGCCACCACAAGCCCCCTCTGCCTCCGGACACGGCTCCATGGGGAGGGGTGGCCATGCTGGAGGAGTCTGTGCGCCTCGTGGGGAGGGGTGGCTATGCTGGAGGAGTCTGTGTGCGTGTCAGCGGTGTGGGGGTTCTGTTGGGGGCACATTGTCTTGTTCAGAGCGTCTGCTTCCTGCGTGGTCAAAAGCGGTGGTGGGCGCTGACCAGCTGGTCTCATAGGTCTCCGCGAGTATCAGGTGAATTTGCACTAGGGGAAAGCCACTGACGAGTTTCTCTGAAATTCTGTCCCTGAGTCTGTCCTTTACAAATCCACCTCCTCGGGGGCCTTTCCCTGACAGGGCTGTACCCGGCAACCCCACCCGGGCCCTGATACAGGAGCCCTACCCTGCCTTGGCCCTTCTGTGCACCCAGCCTGAGCAGCACCCGTCTCCCGGAAGCTCCACGATGGGGGTGCTGTCTGCCAGAACACAGAGCAAACTTCTGACAGCAGGGAGACTGCAGCCCCTTGCTCGTGTGGTGGCCTCCGGCAGTAGGGGCCGCAAAGACAAGTGTTTTCTCAGCCTTGTTGATGTGCTGGATTTGCTTCCCGGGCTGCTGTGCACAGCACACAGGCTGCAGGGCCTCGGCCACAGACACGCATCCTCTGACATCCTGGGGGCTGAACATCCAAGATCAAGGTGTCAGCAGGGCTGGTTCCTCTGAGGCCTCTCCTTGGCATGCAGACGCCGACTCCTCCGTGTATCCCCACAGGGCTGTCCCTCTGTGTGTGTGTCTGTCCTCATCTGCTCTTCTTACAAGGACACCGGTCCAATCAGGGCCCACCCTAGCGACCTCATTTTACCCTAATCACCTCTGTGAGGACCTCATCTCCAACGCAGTCCCCTTCTGCAGTGCTGGGGGTTGGGGCTTTGACAGGTGAATCCGGGGGAGGCACGCCCACCTGAACGCTCAGCCCATAACAAGTGCAGTCTCTCTTTTCCTCGCTGTCTTTCTGCAATACATACGAATGACTTATGTAACGCTGAAAAGCACTCTACGGTAATATACGCCTTACAGATGCAAAGCTGCAAAGCTGCCAAGCTGCCAGGAGCAAGTCCCGCATCTGGAGCCACCTGGCCTGCGTGGAGAGACGGAGGTGCTGACTGGCCGGATCGATGAGGTTCACGGCTCGCTTGCTTCTCTGTTGGTTGCAGCTGGGACTCACAGGTTCATGCCACCTCTTGGGAAGAGAATTTGGAATCTGGTAGGAAAGAGAAGACAAGAGCACGAGGGAGAACGCTGTGAGATGCAGGAGTGTTTCTCTGGGGCGGTTCATAGGATCACCTTCAGGAGGAAGCACCCCAGCCCTTCACCAACCCAGCCAATCAGAATCAGGGCAAAGCACCATCATCACCATCGTGGTCGTCATGACAAAGCCCCCGTTCATGGCATGCTATACCTGTGTAGCAGAAGCACCTTCCGAGACTAACTTGCCTGAGGTCACACAGCTGCAGGGAGTAAAAGCTCAGTCCCTTTAGCTGGAGAGCTTCTTTGCTCAACCCCTCGTAAATAATTGGAACAAAATAGGAGGGGCAGGCCTGATGTGGTGGCTCACACCTGTAATCCCAGCACTTTGGGAGGCAGAGGCGGGAGGATTGTGTGAGTCCAGGAATTCGAAACCACCCTGTGTAACATGGCGAGATCCTGTTTCTACAAAAAATAGAAACATTAGCCAGGCATGGTAGCATGAACCTATAGTCCCAGCTACCTGGGAGGCTGAGGTGGGAGAACCACTTCAGCCTGGGGAGGCTGAGGCTGCAGCAAGCCCTGATGGTACCGCTGCACTCCAACCTGGGTGACAGAGTGAGACCCTGTCTCACAAAAAAATAAAATTAAAATTAAAATAGGCCAGGCGCGGTGGCTCACGCCTGTAATCCCAGCACTTTGGGAGGCCGAGGCGGGCAGATCACCAGAGGTTGGGAGCTCGAGACCAGCCTGGCCAACATGGAGAAACCCCGTCTCTATTAAAAATACAAAATTAGCTGGACATGGTGGCACATACCTGTAATCCCAGCTACTTGGGAGGCTGAGGCAGGAGAATCACTTGAACCCAGGAGTCGGAGGTTGCGGTGAGCCGAGATCGCACCATTGCACTCCAGCCTGGGCAACAAGAGCGAAACTCCTCAAAAAAAAATTTAAATTAAAATTAAATAGGAGAGGCAGCTCATCCTTCCCCTGCCCTCCCCAAGTTGAAGCTGTCAGGGACCGTTGCTTACACAGAGACTGTGAGCAGAGAGCTGCTTGGGAGGGAATAGGAGTGGAAGTCCCCGGCAGGTAGGAGGTCCCCCTGGATGATCTCGAAGCTCCTCCTTGCCTCACGGTTCCAGATGTACTGATTCCTGGTCTGCAAACTGGATGCTTTCCCGTCTCTTTGGAAGCCTCTGGCTCCGTCCGCAGCCCCCTCCCTGCAATGGCCAGGTCCCTGCCAGGTCACCCAGCTTCCCAGCCTTGTTTGACCTCAGAATCAGAATTGACAGCAGAGTTGTCATGAGGATAAAATGAGATACAAATATGAAGCACCTGTCACTGTGACTGCGGAGGGACCTGGCACCCATCACTGTGACTGCGGAGGGAACTGGGCACCTATCACTGTGACTGCGGAGGGACCTAGCACCTATCACTGTGACTGCGGAGGGACCTAGCACCTATCACTGTGACTGCGGAAGGGCCTGGGCACCTATCACTGTGACTGCGGAGGGACCTAGCACCTATCACTGTGACTGCGGAGGGACCTAGCACCTATCACTGTGACTGCAGAGGGACCTAGCACCTGTCACTCTGACCACGGAGGGGCCTGGGCACCTATCACTGTGACTGAGGTGGGAACTGGGCACCTATCACGGTGACTGCGGAGGGGCCTGGCACCCATCACTGTGACTGCAGAGGGACCTGGCACCTATCACTGTGACTGAGGGACCTGGCACCTATCACTGTGACTGCGGAGGGAACTGGGCACCTATCACTGTGACTGCGGAGGGACCTGGCACCTATCACTGTGACTGCGGAGGGGCCTGGGCACCTATCACTGTGACTACGGAGGGACCTAGGCAAACTCCAGCTCCCCCGACCAGGGCTGTGTGCGTGGAAACGGTCCTGCCATCCACGAAGGAAGCTTTCTCCTTGGGGATTCAGTAGACAGATCCCCAGGCGTGGACAATTGTCACAGCATGCACCAGCCCAGCTGGGACACGCACAAACACCAGACGGTCTGTAATTGAACTCTGATTAATACACACAGCAGGCAGCCTGCTGAGAGGCAAGCCATTTCACAGCAAACCCGGCAACAGTTTATTTTATAACCTATATAATGAAGAGGTCGTGGTTTAAGTGAAATTTAAAAATGTCTGTCCTGAGGAGGAGGGTTCAGTTCAGATGTGCACGATTCCCCTGTGGCCCGGCTGCCAATACCAACTGCCTGCACCTCCAACAGCCCCCCTGGATGGGTGAGTGCAGAGTCTGCTCATGAGGTGGGGCCTCACTCCCTTCCCATGCTTGTGGGGCCCCAGCTGGCTTTGCTCATGAGTGGCCTGTCCCCATCTCTTTCCATGTACCCAGGCTCATGACTAGGCATTTGCCCTGGTCTATGATATGAACCCCAAATATCTGAGACAAGTCTCAATTTAGGAAGTTTATTTTTTCCAAAGTTAAAGGTGCACATCTGTGACACAGCCTCAGGAGGGCCTGGCGACCTCTGCCCAAGGTGCTCAGCACACAGCTTGGTTTTATACATTTTAGGGAGGCACGAGACATCGATCAATATATGTAAGATGTTGATAGGGTTGAGCTTTGTGTCCCCACCCAAATCTCATCTCGAATGGTTTGGCTTTGTGTCCCCACCCAAATCTCATCTTGAATGGCAATCCCCACATCCCCACACGTTTAGGTCGAGACCTGGTGGGAGGTGACTGGGTCCCGGGGTTCCACCCTGCTGTCCTTGTGATAGTGAGGGGGGTTCTCATGAGATCTGATAGTTTTATCAAGGGCTTTTCCCCCTTCACTCACCACTCTCTCGCCTGCCACCATGTAAGACATGCCACTTCCCCTTCTACCACAATTTGTAAGTTTCCTGAGAGCTCCCCAGCGCTGCAAAACTATGAGTCAATTAAATCTCTTTTCTTTCTAAATGACCCAGTCTTGGGTATGATGTCTTCATAGCAATGTGAAAATGGACTAATACAGAGGACATTGGTTTGGTCTGGAAAGAGGGCAACTTGAAGTGGGGAAGAGTCTTCCAGGTCATAGTAGATAAGAGACCAATGGTTGCATTCTGGTTATTTATTTATTTATTTTTTGAGGCAGTCTCCCTCTGTTACCCAGGGTGGAGTACAGTGGTGTGGTCTCAGCTTACTGCAACTTCTGCCTCCTGGGTTCAAGTGATTCTCCTGCCTCAGCCTCCTGAGTAGCTGGGATTACAGGTGTGAGCCATCACACCCGACTAATTTTTGTATTTTTAGTAGAGATGGGGTTTCACCATGTTGGCCAGGCTGGTCTCGAACTCCTGACCTCAAGTGATCCGCCTGCCTCGGCCTCCCAAAGTGCTGGGATTACAGGCGTGAGCCACCGCGCCAGCCAATGGTTGCATTCTTTTGAGTTTCTGATCAGCCTTCCAAAGGAAGCAATCAGATATGCATTTATCTCAGTGAGCGGAGGGATGACTTTGAATAGAATGGGAGGCAGGTTGGCCCTAAGCAGTTCCCTGCTTGATTTTTCCCTTCAGTATAAATAACTTAGTAATTTTGGGGTCCCAAGGCTTATTTTCCTTTCACATTGACTATCATTAGTCAATAAAACAGGGACTAGTGTTTATTGAGTGCCTCTGAAGTGTCTGCTCCCAAACAGGCGGGCGTGCCCTTCCAAACCCTGGTGCGCTGGGCGGCACCTCAACCCCTGCCACACCCTTCCTTCCTTGCTACGCCTGTTCCAGGATGCTGGACAGGGCACAGGGCTCCAGCGCCTGCTGGAGTTCCTGTTCCCTCCTTGGCTGAAGCTCCTGCAGCCGTGTTCCTGCCATCCTCCTGTGGTCTCGTCCCCATCAGGTGTCCTAGTGGGGGCACTCCTAACACCTTTCCTCAAAAGCAGCCTTCCAGATAACTGCACCCCACACTCAGATGTCAGCTCCACAGCCCCCCGGCCCTGCCATTTCCCAGCTATGGTCCATTGCACTAATAGCCCCAATAATCTTCAGCTCCTCCTACTGTCAGAGGCATTTGAACCAGAGCAACTCCATCTTGAATCGGGGCTGGGTAAAACGAGGCTGAGACCTGCTGGGCTGCTGCATTCCCAGGAGGCCAGGCATTCTTAGCCACAGGACGAGATAGGAGGTCAACAGGACTGGTATCACAAGACACAGGTCACAAAGACCCTGCTGATAAAACAGGATACACTAAAGGCACCCGCCAAAACCCATCAAAACCAAGATGGCAATGAAAGTCACCTCCAGTCATCCCCATTGCTCATTATACACTAATTATAATACATTAGACACTAATATATTATAATGAAAGACACTCCCACCAGCACCATGACAGTTTACAAATGCCACAGCAAGGTCCAGAGGTTACCCTACATGGTCTGAAAGGAAGAGGAACCCTCAGTTCCAGCGTTGCCTGCCCTTTTCCCTGGAAAACGTGTGAATAATCCACTCCTTGTTTAGTACATGATCAAGAAATAACCATAGGCGCCTGTAATCCCAGCTACTCCAGAGGCTGAGGCAGGAGAATCGCTTGAACCCAGGAAGCAGAGGTTGCAGTGAGCTGAGATTGCGCCATTGCACTCCAGCCTGGGCAACAAGAGCGAAACTCTATCTCAAAAATAAAATAATAATAAATAAATAAGTACATAAATTGTTTTTAAAAAGAAAGAAGTAGCTTTAAAAGCACTTGCATATTGGGGCTTGTTTTCTTGCTAGTCCTGGAAACCCTGTTATCCCGCCCTGTGAACAAGCCTAGGCTAACCTGCTGGGTGACGAGAGGCACAGCCTACCCTGTGACCAGGTGACTGCCAGCCAGCCACCGGGCACGAGAGTGAGGCCACCGGCCTCCAGCTGACTTCAGACAAAACCAGAGGAAGAACTGCCTAGCGGAGCCCAGCTGATCCCGCTAGAATGCAGGGCGAGGTGCCGTGCCTCACACCTGTAGCCCATAGAATCATGAGCTAAATAATGGTTCCTCTAAGCCATTCGGTTTTGGGGTGGTTTGTTACACAGCCATAGGTAACTGCTACATCAACTAATTGCCCTGTCTCTGCCAGCTCACACTGACAGAGGCCTCAACATGCCCTCCTTCCAAAATTGCTGATGAAGATACAACTAATACCTTATGTTCCCAGGAATAAAGAAATATTCCGCTATTTTACAGCTGAGATGAATGGATGTATTTCAAGTTGCCTCAGTGTTGATGTAAAAAGAAATGAGCCAGGTGTGGTGGCTCACACCTGTAATCCCAGTACTCTGGGAGGCTGAGGTAGGCAGATCACTTGAGGTCAGGAGTTCAAGACCAGCCTGGCCAACATGGTGAAACCCTGTCTCTACTAAAAATACAAAAACTAGCTGGGCGTGGTGCATGCCTGTAATCCCAGCTACTCGGGAGGCTGAGGCAGGAGAATCTCTTGAGCCTGGGAGAAGGAGGTTACAGAGAGCCGAGATCATGCCACTGCACTCCAGCCTGGGCAACAGAGCGAGACACCGTCTATAAATAAATAAATAAATAAATAAATAAATAAATAAATAATGAAACCAGAGGTGTCTGTTTAGCCCAACTCCACTGGGCGGCTGCTTGAATCATGGCCCTGAGAATTGTGATTTTACGGAATACACTGTAGGGAGCATCTAACTGGGTGAGACTTCAGAACCTGCTGGACTAAATTACCCTAACTGCTTTACAGTTTTGCATTAGAGAGGATAAAGGTGGGGTGGGGGCCACAGAAAGGGGGGGCTTCTATCGCTCCATAACAGGGGTGGGCTCCGGACGCTCTTCCAGCCATGTTCTTCCCACCCCCAACCTCCTCATCAGCTTTAGACAGGATCCTACCATCTCGGGCAAGAGATGGATTCAGTGTGGCGTCCGTCTACCCCCCCAGAGGGCCGAGCCCTGTCGGGTACGTGCACAGTCGTCAAGACTATCATAAAAGGATACAAAATGCCATGACAGAGCAGCACAAGGGCAGATGGAAACTGGAGCCCAGGATGTCTGGTGAACAGGTGGAACGCAGCAGAGCTCTGAGGGACGACCAGGCACTAGGAACAGGATTCAGGCAGAGAGGACGCGGGCGGCAAATGCAGGACCAGGCCACGGGGACACAGCAATGCTGCCACATCGTCCCTGCCTGGGGCCATCTGGCCTCTGTCCCCTCCCCACACTCTTGTAGAGGGTGCAAGTCAAAGCCCACACTCTGTCTAATCCTGTCCCTAAATTGGATTCTACCGCTCTCAAGGACGATCCCGCTGGTAGCAGCAGCGGTTAAGTGCCGAGCACATGTTCTGTCCTGGGCGCTGCGCTGGGCCCCTTCCCTGTCTGGTCTCTTTAATACCCCAAGGCTAAGAGGGCAGTCTCAGCACTCTCAACTTGCAGGTGGGAAAGAAAACAGCGGCAGAGACTGACTTGTACGTTCCTGACCACACAACCGAACCAGATGGAAGCCCAAGCCGTGCAATGTGAGAGAACATAACAGAGGCGACATTTTCCCTCTGAGTCAAACTGCTTGGGCAGAGAGTTTAGGACTGAAATCTGCAGGCTTTTAAAATATTTATTTATTTACTTATTTATTTATTTTGAGATGGAGTCTGTCTCTGTCCGCCAGGCTGGAGTGCAATGGTGCGATCTCCGCTCACTGCAACCTCCGCCTCTCGGGCTCAAGCAATTCTCCTGCCTCAGCCTCCCAAGCAGCTGGGACTATAGTTGTGCACCACCACACCTGGCTAATTTTTGTATTTTTAGTAGAGACAGGGTTTCTCCATGTTGGCCAGGCTGGTCTCGAACTCCTGACCTCAGGTGATCCACCCGCCTCGGCCTCCCAAAGCTCTTGGATTACAGGTGAGTGCCACCGCGTCAGGCAGGTTCATTTTATCTTTATTGGAACAAATATGAATGGTTAGATGGATATTATTCTTTAGGGCAAAACTAACATTTTAAAAAGCTAGCCCATCAACTTAAAAATTAAACAAATTAAGATATATAGGATACTTGTATTAAAAAGCATTCCTTAACTTTAAAATGGGCCTAGCAAAAGAAAAAATATTAATAAAGGTGGCAAAGAAACAATTAAGTTTAAGAAACATGGCTTAGCCCAACCATATGCAGTGACTCACACCTGTAATCCCGACGATGTGGCCAAGACAGGAGAATCACGTGAGGCCAGGAGTTCAAGATCAGCCTGGGCAACATAGCGAGACCCCATCTCTATAAAAAACTTAAAAAATTAGCTGGACATGGTGGTCCGGGCCTATAGTTCCAACTACTCTCAGGAGGCTGAGCTGGGAAGATCTCTTAAGCGAGGGAGGTTGAGGCTGCTGAAACAATGCTTAAAGAGAGTGGGCACATGTCTTTGTTAAATTACCAGCCATTTTTTTTTTTTTTTTGAGACAGGGTTTTACTCCTGTCGCCCAGGTTGGAGTACGGTGGCACAATCACGGCTCACTATAGCCTCTATTTCCCTAGCTTAGGTGATCCTCCCACCTCAGCCTCTTGGGTAGCTGGGATTACAGCCATGCCACCACATCCAACTAATTTTTTTGTATTTTTAGTGGAGATGGGATTTCACCATATTGTCCAGGCTGGTCTCAAACTCCTGGACTCAAGTGATCCACCCGCCTTGGCCCCCCAAAGCATTGGGATTACAGGCGTGAGCCACTGCGCCCAGCCCATTCTTAAGAATATACCCAATCTGATCCTTGGTTGGCCTTGGCTTGTGGTGACCTTGGCATTTGGAAAGACTTTCCATCTGCATCTCAACATCCCACCATGTTTCAGAATCCAGTTCAGAGATGTGTGCTCGAAAAACACTCCTGAGCTAGGAACACAGGCTCCCTCCCCGGTTCCCCTGGCCACCAGCTTGTCCTCGGAACCCCTGTGGCAGATGTGTGCATTTTATCTCTTTATACCACTTTTTACTGCAATTTCATATTGGGTGAAAGTGGACGGTAGGCCTTTGATTTATATCTCTGATGCTTAGGGACCCTCAGAAAGTGTGTACGGTAATTCCACAGGTCTGTGTTCTCTCCTCCCTCTGTATTTATTACCCATTGCTGTGTTACAAATTACTCCAAAACTGAGAAGCTGAAACCAGCAAACGTCGTCAGCGCAGTCTCTGTGAGTCAAGAGCGGGGGAGCTGCGTGGTGGGAGATCCTGGCTCAGGGTCTCTTGTGAGGCTGCATCAGGCTGTTGGCTGGGCTAGGGCTGCTGTCCCCTGAAGGCCCCAACAGGGAGGACGCATGCCAAGCTCACGCACGTGGTTGCTGGGAGGCCTTGGTTCCTCGATGGTTGTTAGACGGGTTCCCTCTTGAAGACCTGAGGTTAATTCTTCAGCGTCCTTCGGGAAGGACAGAGCTCCCCAGTGGGTAATTCCTCGATGTCCTTCTGTAAGGACAGAGCTGCAGGATGGGTCTTTCTTTAGCATCCTTCGGGAAGGAAACCCGGCCTCTACTAAAAATACAAAAATTAGCCGGGTGTGGTGGCTTGTGCCTGTAATCCCAGCTACTCAGGAGGCTGAGGCAGGAGAATCACTTGAACCTGGAAGGCAGAGGTTGCAGTGAGCTGAGATCGTGCCATTGCACTCCAGCCTGGGAGACAGAGCGAGACTCCATCTCCAAACAACAACAACAAAAAACGATGGTGCTGGGCCAGTGCAGGTTCACCACTACGGCAAAGGAAGCCCTCTGGTGGAAATGTTGGGGGTCGGGATGTTGGTGGTGGGGAAGGCTCAGTGTGGAGGGAGGGGACATATGAGAACTCTGTGCTTTTCACTTAATTTTGCTGTGAACCTAAAACTGCTCCAAAAAATAAAGTGTATTTTTGTGAAAGAAGAAAGATCTCAAAGCAAAACCATAAACTTTCATCTTAAGAAACAAGGGAATAAAAGAGCGAACTAGACCCAAAGTGGAAGGAAGGAAATATTAAAATTTAGTGTGGAAATGAATGAAATAAAGAATAGAAAAACAAGAGAAAATCAACAAAACTGAAAGTTGGTCCTTTGAAAAGATCAACAAAATTGATAAACCTTTAGTAAGACTAACCAAGAATAAAAGAAAGAAGATTCATGTTACTAAAATAAGGAATCAAAGGGGGGACATTGATAATGACTTTTTTTTTTTTGAGACGGAGTCTCGCTCTGTTGCCCAGGCTGGAGTGCAATGGCGCCATCTTGGCTCACTGCAACCTCTGCCTCCCAGGTTCAAGTAATTCTCCTGCCTCGGCCTCCCAAGTAGCTGGGATTACAGGTGTGCGCCACCACACCCAGCTAATTTTTGTATTTTTAGTGGAGACGGGGTTTTGCTATGTTGGCCAGGCTGGTCTCGAACTCCTGACCTCAGGTGATCTGCCCTCCTTGGCCTCCCAAAGTGCTGAGATTACAGGCATGAGCCACCATACCCGGCCTACTACTGACATTACAGAAGTAAAAGTATTATAAGAAAATAAGATAAATAATTGTATGCCAACAAATTATATAACTTAGATGAAATAGACAAATTCCTAAAAAGATACAAACTACCACATTGACTCAAGAAATAATAGAAAATCTTAATCGATTTGTAACAAGTAAAGGAATTGAATTAGTAATATTTTTTAAAAACTACATACAAAAAAAAAAAAAACCAAGGCCAAGATAACTATATTGGTAATTTCTACCAAACACTTAAGAAAGAATTAATACCAATCCTCCACAAATTTTTCCAAAAAATAGAAAATTAGAGAACACTCCCAACTCATTATAGGAGGCTAGTTCTATCCCGAAGCTAAATCCAAGCAAAGACATCACAAGAAAAAAGAAAAAAAAAAAAAAACATACAAACCAGCATCTGTCATGAATATAGATACAAAAATTCTCCACAAAACACTAGCAAATCAGATCCAGTAAAGTACAGAAAGAATTATACACCACAACTAAGTGGGATTTATTCCAAGAATGCCAAGTTGACTCAAGATATGAAAATCCAGGGCTGGGCATGGCAGTTCACAGCGTAATCCCGGTGCTTTGGGAGGCTGATGCTGGAGGATCGCTTGAGCCCAGGAGTTCAAGAACAGCCTGGCAACATAGTGAGACCCTGTCTCTACCCAAAAATTTAAAAATTGGCCAGGCGCGATGGCTTACCCCTGTAATCCCTCCACTTTAGGAGGCCAAAGTGGGTGAATTGCTTGAGGCCAGAAGTTGGAGACCAGCCTGGCCAACATGGCAAAACCCTGTCTCTACTAAAAATACAAAAATTAGTTGGGCGTGGTGGTGTGCGTGCCTGTAATCCCAGCTACTTGGGAGGTTGATGCACGAGAATCACTTGAACCCGGGAGGTGGAGGCTACAGTGAGCCGAGATCGCACCACTGCACTCCAGGGCCTGAGATTACAGGCATCAGAAGGAGGCGACAAAGTGAGGCTCCGACTCAAAAAAAAAAAAAAAATTCCGGGCACGGTGGCTCACGCCTGTAATCCCAGCACTTTGGGAGGCCGAGGTGGGCGTATCGCCTGAGGTTGGGAGTTCGAGACCAGCCTGATCAACATGGAGAAACCCCATCTCTATTAAAAATACAAAAAATTAGCTGGGCATGGTGGCGCATGCCTGTAATCCCAGCTACTCAAGAGGCTGAGGCAGGAGAATCATTTGAACCCAGGAGGTGGAGGTTGCGGTGAGCTGAGATCACGCCATTGCACTCCAGCCTGGGCAACAAGAGCAAAACTCCATCTTAAAAAATAAATAAATAAATAAATAAATAAGCATTTGACAAAATTTAACATCCTTTCATGGTAAAACAAAAAAAAACTAGAAATAGAAGGAAGCTTCTTCAACCTGAAACTGAAAGTGAACCTGAAGTGAAAACGGGTACTTATGAAATCCAGCTAACATCATACTTAATAATGAAAGACTAAATGCTTTCCCCTCAAGATTAGGAATAAGACAAGGATCTCTGTTGTTACCACTTCTGTTCAACATTCTACTAGAGACAAACCAGAACAACCAAGCAAGGAAAAGAAATAAAAGGCATCTGGATTAAAAAGGAAGTAACACTATCTTTATTCACAGATGACATGGTCTTATATATGGAAAATCATAAGGATCACACACACACACACACACACACACACACACACAAAAAAAAATCAACAAATATTAGGATGAATAAATGAATTTAGCAAGGCTGCAGGAAACACAATCAATATACAAAAATATGTTGCATTTCTACAAATAGTAATGAACAATCAGAAAGTCAAATTAAGGAAACCGTTCACAATAGCATCACAAAGATTAAAATACTTAGGAATAAATTTAACAAAAGATGTGCAAGATCTGCACACTGAAAACTACAAAATATAACTGAAAGAACTTTTTTTTTTTTTCCTGAGACAAAGTCTCGCTCTGTCACCCAGGCTGAAGTGCAGTGGCGCAATCTCGGCTCACTGCAGATTCCACCTCCCGGGTTCAAGCAATTCTCCTGCCTCAGCCTTCCATGTAGCTGGGATTACAGGCATTTGCCACCACACCTGGCTATTTTTTGTATTTTTAGTAGAGATGGGGTTTCACCATGTTAGCCAGGCTGGTCTCAAACTCCTGACCTCAAGTGATCTGCTCACCTCGGCCTCCTAAAGTGCTGGGATTACAGGCATGAGCCAACATGCCCGGCCTGAAAGAACATTTTTAAAGACCTAAGTCAATGGAAACATATCCCATGTTTATAGATCAGAAGACTTACTATTGATGGCAATACTTTCCTAAGTATTGATGGGAATACTTACTAAGATGGCAATACTTTCCAGGTTGATCTGCAGATTCAACTCAATTCCTATCAAAATCCCAGCTGCTTTTAAAAAAAAAAAAAAAAAAAATTGAAAAGCTTGCCTTAAATTTTATATGAAAATACAAAAGATCCAGAATAACCAGTCTTGAAAAAGAAGAAAGTTGGGGGACTGGGCATAAGGATGGACATAGAGATCAATGAGGTAGAATGAAGAGTTCAAGAATAAACCCTTACATACATGGTCAATCGATTTTCAAAACAGCATTCCAAAAACACTCAATTGGGGCGGGCGCGGTGGCTCACACGTGTAATCCCAGCACTTTGGGAGGCCGAGGTGGGTGGATCACGAGGTCAGGATATCGAGACCATCCTGGCTAACAAGGGGAAACCCCGTCTCTACTGAAAATACAAAAAATTAGCCAGGCATGGTGGCGGGCACGTGTAGTCCCAGCTACTCGGGAGGCTGAGGCAGGAGAATGGCGTGAACCAGGGAGGCGGAGCTTGCAGTGAGCCAAGATCGTGCCACTGCACTCCAGCCTGGGCAACAGAACAAGACTCTGCCTCAAAAATATATAAATAAATAAATAAATAAATAAATACACTCAATCAGGAAAGAATAGTCTTTTCAACAGATGGTGCTGGGACAGCTTAATAGCCACATCCAAAATAATAAAGTTAGACCCTTATCTCACACCATGTACAATATTTAGCTTAAATCAAAGACCTAAGTATAAGACTAAAACTATGAGACTTTTAGAAGAAAACACAGGCATAAATCTCGGTGACGCTGGATTAGGCAATGGCTTCTTAGATATGACACCAAAAGCACACGCAACCAAAGAAAAAAAATAGACAGATTGGACTCCATCAAAGTTAAAACTTTCACTCTGTGACCCAGGCTGGAGTGCAATGGCGTGACCTCGACTCACTGCAACCTCCACTTTCCGGGTTCAAGCAATTCTCCTGCTTCAGCCTCCCGAATAGCTGGGACTACAGGCACGCGCCACCACTCCTGGCTAATTTTTGTATTTTTGGGAGAGATGGGTTTTCGCTGTGTGGGCCAGACTGGTCTCGAACTCATGGCCTAAAGTGATTCTCCCACCTCGGCCTCCTAAAGTGCTGGGATTACAGGCATGAGCCACTGCGACTGGCCGATTTGTAAATTTTTAAAAGTTTAAACTTTTGTGCTTCAAAGAACACCATCAAAAAAGTGAAGAGAGGCCAGGCGCAGTGGCTCACGCCTGTAATCCCAGCAGTTTGGGAGGCCAAGGTGGGTGGATCACCTGAGGTCAGAAGTTTGAGATCAGCCTGGCCAACATGGTGAAATCCCGTCTCTACTAAAAATACAAAATTAGTTGGGCATGGTGGCACGCACCTATAATCCCAGCTACTCGGGAGCCTGAGGCCGGAGAATCACTTGAACCTGGGAGGTGGAGGGTGCAGTGAGCCAAGATCTTTAAGCAAAACTCTGTCTCAAAAAAAAAAAAAAAATGAAGAGAGCTGGGCATGTTGGCTCATGCCTATAATTCCAGCAGTTTGGGGGACCGAGGCAGGAGGATGGCTTGAGGACAAGAGTTTAAGACCAGCCTGGGCATCATAGCAAGACCCCATCTCCACACAAAAAAATTTAAAATCAGCTCAGCATGGTGGCATGCACCTGTAGTCTCAGCTACTCAGGAAGCTGAGGTGGGAGGATCAGTTGAGCCCAGGAGTTTGAGGGTGCAGTGAGCTATGATCATGCCACTGAACTCCAGCCTGGGTGACAGAGACAGACCATGTCTCTAAAAAGGAAAAACAAAAACAAACAAACAAATCTGAAAAGACAACCTATAGTAATGAAGAAAATATTTGCAAATCATACGTCTAGTAAGGGACTGATATCCAGAATATTATCTTAACAATAAATAAAAAGACAAATATTCTGAATAAAAAACGAGCAAAGAGGTTGAAGACACATCTCTCCAAAGAAGATCTACGAGTGGCCGATTAGCACATGAAAAAACGTTCAACACCAGTAACCTTAAGGAAACGCAAATGAAAACTACCATGAATTATCACTTCACACCCACTCAGACGGTTATAGTAAAACAGGCAGGCAACAGAGAGCCTTGAAGGGGACGCTGATAGGAATGCACCATGGTACAACCACGTCCGTAAGCAGGGCAGCAGCCTCTTCAAAAGTTCAACATAGAGGTGCTGTATGACCAACAGTTCCACTCCTCGGTAAGGCCCCCAAAGAATGAAAACGTGTGGGCCAGGCGCGGTGGCTCACGCCTGTAATCCCAGCACTTTGGAAGGCCGAGGTGGGCGGATCACGAGGTCAGGAGATCGAGACCATCCTAACACAGTGAAACCCCGTCTCTACTAAAAATACAAAAAATTAGCCAGGCGTGGTGGCGGGCGCCTGTAGTCCCAGCTACTCAGGAGGCTGAGGCAGGAGAATGGCATGAACCCGGGAGGCAGAGCTTGCAGTGAGCCGAGATTGCACCACTGCACTCCAGCCTGGGCGACAGAGCAAGACTCCGTCTCAAAAAAAAACAAAAAAAAAGAAATGAAAACGTGTTCCCACAGAAACTCATACACGACACTACTGTCCTTAGCAGCATTGTTGTTATTATTATTATTATTATTATTATTTGAGATGGAATCTCACTCTGTCACCCAGGCTGGAGTGCAGTGGTGTGATCTCGGCTCACTGCAACCTCCACCTCCCGTGTTCAAGTGATTCTCCAGCCTCAGCCTTCCAAGTGGCTGGGATTACAGATGCCCACAACCATGCCTAATTAATTTTCGTATTTTCAGTAGAGATGGGGTTTTCACCCTCTTGGCCAGGCTGGTCTCGAACTCCTGACCTCAGGTGATCCGCCCAGCCTCCCACAGAGCTGGGATTACCGGCGTGAGCCGCCGCGCCCAGCCTATTGGTGGTGTACATTCTGTGGGTTTTCACACATGCACCTGGCGTGGATCCATCATTACAGTGTCACGCAGAGTGTTTCATGGCCCTAAAAGTCCCCTGTGCTCTGCTTACTCATCCCTCCTTCCCCCTACCCCGGCAAACACTGATCTTTTTACTGTCTTCATAGTTTTGTCTTTTCCAGACATCATATAGTCAGAATTGAAGGGAATATACCAGCCAAAAACCTGCCACTATGGCATAAGAATTATTTTAGCTAAAGGCACTAAAAATAAAAGTAGCTGCAAGAAGTACGCTTAGACCCCCCGCTTTTCTTCCTGAAAGTAGGAGATTAAATTCCCATACGAGAGCCCAGTTCCCTATACCAGGAGGAAAGAAACATTTTTATCACCAGAGATGGGGATTCCAGGCAGAGAGAAATCTGTACAAACAGATCTTGTTACAATAATTCTTGTCTTCCTTTGGTCGCCTCACATATTTTAGTGACTTTTCCACAATTTCCTCTCTTTGCTCAGCCTAATCTACAGACATTTAGGCCTGGCCATGTCTTTGGGTCTTCATCTTCTTGTGGGGACTTCCATGTACCTGTAAAACAAAATCTGTCTGCTTTTCTCCTGTAATTTTTTTGTTTTGGTTTGGTTTGGTTTGGTTTTTTTTTGAGATGGAGTCTCATTCTGTCGCCAGGCTGGAGTGCAGTGGCGCAATCTCCGCTTACTGCAACCTTTGCCTCCCGGGTTCAAGTGATTCTCCTGCTGGGACGACAGGCGCCCGCCACCATGCCTGGCTAATTTTTGTATTTTTAGTAGAGACAGAGAGTCACCATATTGGCCAGGCTGGTCTTGAACTCCTGACTTCAAGTGATCTGCCCACCTCAGCCTCCCAAAGTGCTGGGATTACAGGCATGAGCCACTGCGCCCGGCCCTGCTTTTCTCCTGTTAACCTGACTTAGGTCAATTTGATTCTTAGACTCAGCCGAAGACCCCAAGAGGGTAGAGATAAGGTTTTTCCTCCCATACAGAATCGCCCAGTAGGTAGGATTTTCAGGCTGGCTTCTTCCACCTGGCAATACACATCTGAAGTTCCTCCGTATCTCTTCACAGTTGACAACTCATTTCTTCTTAGTGCTGAATAATAGCCCACTGTCTGGATGCATCGCTGTTTATTTATCCATTCACATACAGAAGGACATCTTGGTTGCTTCCAAATTTTGGAAATTATGAGTAAAGCTGCTATAAATATCCAGGTGTAGGTTTTTGGTTGGTTGGTTTTTTGGTTTGGTTTTGTTTTTTTTGAGACAGGGTCTTTCTCTGTCACCCAGGCTGGCATGCAGTGGTGTGATCATAGCTCACTGTAGCCTTGAACTCCTGGACTCAAGCCATTCTCCCACCTCAACCTCCTGAGTAGCTGGGACTACAGGTGTGTGTCACCACACTTGGATAATTTTTAAAAATTTTTGTAGAGATGGGATCTCATTTTGTTGCCCAGACTGGTCTTGAACTCCTGGGCTCAAGCGATCCTCCCACCTTGGCCTCCCAATGTGCTGAGATTACAGGTGTGAGCCACTACATCCAGTCCTGTGTGCAGGTTTTTGTGTGGATATAAGTTTTCAGCTCATTTGGGTAAATACTGAAGAGTGTGATTGCCGGGTCCTACGGAAAGAGCGTGTTTACTTTTGTAAGAAGCTGCCAAACTGTCTTCCCAAGTGGCTGCACCATTTTGCATTCCCACCAGCAATGAATGGGCGTTCCTGTGGCCCCACGTCCTCACCAGCATTTGGTGTTGTCAGTGCTTTGGCTTTTCCCCATTCTAATGGACATGTAGTGGTATCTCACTGTTTTTCCTTTTTCTTTATTAATGCAGGTGTTTACAGCTATAAATTTTCCTCCAACCACTTCATTTCTGTATTGCATAAATTTTGATATGTTGTGGTTTTATTTTCATTCATCTCAAAGTGTTTTCTAATTTATTTTGTGATTTCCTCTTTGATTCATTGGTGATTCAGGAGTATGTTACTTCCACATATTTGTGAATTTCCCAAATTTTCTTCTATTAGTGATTTCTAATTTCTAGATTCCCAGGAACATGTCAGCCTTTCAGACCCCCTGTGGACATCCCATTCCCCAGCTTTTCCTTTTAAGGTTTTGGTCTTCTTGTTTGCCCCTACTGGTAACACCAGCTAGGCAGGTATGATGTTAAGCAGTTTCCACGGATGGTTCTCAACAATCATCCCAGGGAAAAAGCTGTTCCTAGTAAGTAAGGTCTGAGTCAGGTCAATAAAGACAAGCCCTGCAAAGGGTGGTGGTGGGGCGGGGTGCGGGGGAGTGTTTCTAGGACGCTGCCAGATGGGTCAAATAGTGACAATTATCAGGGGATGGGGCTTCTGGGAGCTCCAAACCCACCCTAGTCGGCCAGTGGGTACGAGGATGCTGGTTTTCAAGGCTACTGCAGGGGTAGTGGGAATAGAAACAGTGACAGCTAAAATGACCCAACACTCATTGTTCCAATGAGATTCAGCGGTTTTTTTGTTTGTTTGTTTGTTTGTTTGTTTTGAGATGGAGTCTCGCTCTGTTGCCCAGGCTGGAGTGCAGCGGCACAATCTTGGCTTAAGCTCTGCCTCCCGGGTTCACACCATTCTCCTGCCTCAGCCTCCGGAGTAGCTGGGACTACAGGTGCCCGCCACCACGCCTGGCTAATTTGTTGTATTTTTTAGTAGAGATGCTCCTCAGAGGGTTGCAACCCTTTGGTGAATTTCCAGAGTTCTGAAAGAGTTCACTTTTATAATTTTTGCCAGTATTCTCATTGCTTTTATGGAGAAACAGATTTGGAGGGGCCCTACTCTGACATTCTGAAAGTGTCTATCCCTGATGCTTGGTTTTTGAACATTGAATAGTATTAAATTCCAAGATATCCTCTCTCTCCTCCCCACTGCCTCTTTCTCTCTCTCCCCATCTCCCTCTCATGTTGATGTCTGGTGACCGCCACCCCCGTCAGGGTTTGGCCCAGGTGGGGTCCTAGCTCCTCAGCTGTGTGTGGCCAGTGATGGTCATCCTGTGGGGCTGGGGTGAGGGACCAGGGTGAGGAGATGGCCGGGACTGCTGCGTCTGGAGGGCTTGAGTCCCTGTGCCTCCTGATCCTGCCCTCTTCTTGGTGGTGGACTGTGGCCATGGTGTCTGGGCCATAGTGGTCCCACGAAGGTCTGTCTGTACGGGCCCCCTTCTGACTCCCTTAATAAAATCAAACTCTGGAGCTCAGGCTGGCCTGGGAAAGGATGTGTCCCCAGGAGGTCCATCTCTTGTCCCCCAATGCCCCTTGCCCTTCAGGGAGGGGTAGGGCCTGGAACTTGGCCCACAGGGAAAGGCACTGCTTGTTTCCTTCCTGAAGATGCTGAGGGAGACCCCGTCCCCACCCTGGCGCTCAGAGCATTGCTTCGTTAAGGAAGCCAGCAGATCCTCCAGGGGCTCCCTGTGGGCCACAGCTTGCTCCGAATGAGCTGGGGCGCTGGAGCCAAGCAGTGGCGCTTCCAGGGCCTTCTTTCCACGTTGCGGTATGAGAAGGACCTGCCATTCGTTTTCATCATCACATCAGTCAGAGAACAGTTTTTCACCAGGTGCGCTTTCCCCCCAGGGGTCAGGCCTTCAGCCAGGCTGCCCCCTCCTGTGTTCAGGGGGATGAAGAAGACACAGCCGGGCACTCCCTTCCTCTCCTCCCACTGCAAATATCCGGCTTTGGAGTCGTTCTTGAAAGGTGCTCCAGGGGGTCCCAGCGTTCTCCTCTGCAGAAGACAGATGGCATCACTGCCCGCCCCGGAGTCACAGCCAGGCCCGGCCCTGGTCGGGGGCGCAATGGAGAAGGTCTCCACGCCCCGTTACAGCTCCCCAAAGGGCTCCCCAAACACCACGCCCAGTGGTCTGGGTGTGGAGAATGAGCTTCCTCTTGTCTTTCCTTATAGGAAACCTGCTTTTCCTGCAGTTCCTCTACCAGGGCCCCGTTGTGGTTTGGGGTCCAGTCCAACAGCGTCCGCAGAGGTTTGTGAGGGTCCATGAAATACTTGAGTTACCAGGATGTTCATTTTGCAACATTTTCAACATTTGTAATCCAGTGAAATATCAATAAAAACCCCACAGGGTTCTGGTAATAGGAAGAGTATGCTTTCCTCCGGAGACCAATCCTTTCTATTCAGACCATTTCCAGACCTGTGAGCTCACCTCTGAGACAGGCCAGCGCTCTCTGCCCAGCTGGGTCACACTGCCCCTGCCTGGTAATGACTCTACCTTCACACCTGCGGCCTTCATACCCCCTGCCCAGCCAGCTCCCTCCTGGTGAACAGCTCACAGCGAGGCCTGAGGCCCCAGCAAGCAGTTCCTTCTCATGGATGCGCTTGCTTTAAATAATTCAGCAAAATTCAGTCTTTTCAGAGATGATTCACCAAAGCTGCTCATTGAGGGGCAAGATTGTGAGCGCGGCGGCTGCACCAATCCCTCCTCTGAATGAGACGTTGGAGACTCGGCCTGGCCACATGGAAGCCGCAACAGGAAGGGCTGACCGCTATGGGCGCCTTGAGAGACGCAGCCCCAGCAGACACAGGCTCTGAGCTCTGAGACCCTCCTGCTGTGCCCCAAGAACCCAATGCCACCGTAGACGATGGCACCAGACAGCCCCCAAGCAGGCTGCGAGGCGATGGGTGCTCCTGGGTGTACACAGGCTCCCCTGCAGGGCGGGGAGGTGACGGGCGTTCCTGGGTGTACGCAGGCTCCTCTGCAGGGCGGGGAGGCGCTGGCCCGCTTAGACATCTCGGCCTATCGCCGAACGGAATGCTGAGGGTGGCCTCGAAAATCAGCACAGTATGTGGACCCCCAGCCTGGCAGAAGGAAGGAAGTGAAATGGGGGGTGCACCCAGTAGAGACACCTCCCCAACCCCAGACCCAATGGGCCCTCTGCAGGCTCCTCTCCTCTAGCCCAGCCAGTGTCCACGGTGGGGACGAGCTTGCTGAGCTCAAATTGCTTTCCCTCCTCTCCCTGTCTGCCAAGTGATACAATGCACATCTTCAACGCAGCATGTTCCACCCTGAAACAAGATCACTGCCCATCACTTGTGTCTAAGGGCCTACCACAGCAATTCCATCGCTCCTTCCTCTTCTTGGCACTGTTTCTTTTTTGGCACCTTTTCTAGTTTGTTTGTTTGTTTGTTTGTTTTGAGATGGAGCCTTGCTCTATCGCCCAGGCTGGAGTGCAGTGCCAGAGATTATATGGGTGATAGACACCCACTGACAAAAGATGCAGCCCGCACAGGAGCCAAAATATGTTCAGCAGGCCGGGTGCCACTCTAAGTTTGCCCATTTGTTTGTCAAGGAACCCTGGATTGATTCCAGCTTTTGGCATTGTGAGTGCCACTCTAAGCCTCTTGGGGCAAGCATCTCTTTGAGTCCCTGATTTCAGTATTCTGGGTCTGTCCTAGGAGCGGAATTGCTGTGTCACATGACAACTCCATGTTTCATATGTTTAAGCTTTTGAGGAACTGTCACACGCTTTTTTAAAAAAACAATCTGGCATCTGGCCAGGCGTGGTGGCTCATGCCTGTAATCCCAGCACTTTGGGAAGCCGAGACGGGCAGATCACGAGGTCAGGAGATCGAGACCATCCTGGCCAACACGGTGAAACCCCATCTCTACTAAAAATACAAAAATTAGCTAGACGTGGTGGCGTGTGCCTGTAATCCCAGCTACTCAGGAGGCTGAGGCAGGAGAATAGCTTGAACCAGGGAGTTGGAGGTTGCAGTGAGCCAACATGGTGCCACTGCACGCCAGTCTGACGACAGAGCAAGACTCCATCTCGAAAAGAAAAAAAAACAACCTGGCATCTGATATTTATAAATCACCATTGAAACAGTCATGATGGAAAACTAAGGTATGAGTCAAGTGGGAAGGTGGCCGGTGGTCGCTGACATTTCCTGCCAGTCACAGGGAGGCCCCGGGAAGGGGTCATCTCCACTGCCCCTGACCCTGTGCAGGGAAGGGCTGTCTGGGGCTATCAGTCAGATCTGGCCCAGAGAGTGGAAGCCACTCCAGGTGTTCCGAGGAGAAGGGTTCAGACGCAGGTGCTCAAAGCCTCTCGCAGCTGCTGGACAGGACCCTAAGGAAGGCCAGGAGCGAGGTGACAGCTCTCAAGCACTCTCAGGAACCTTGGGAGTCCCTGCCGCGGTGACTCCCTGGGAGCTGCTGCCAACCTCACATGTCACCTGCTCGGGAGGCCAAGTTGCCTGCCTTCCCCGTTGCCCACAGCTGCCTCATTGGTGACGAGGGACTCAGAGACATAGCCTTATCTGCAAAGTCACAGGGCTACAGGGAGCCATGTGCACTGGGGATGGGGGCGCAGGGAGCATGCAGGCCTGGGTGAGGGCAGCCTGGAGGGCAGGTCAGATGCTGGAAACATCGTCCAGGTGGGGCTAGCATGACTTACTGATGGACTTGTGGGGGCACAGGGTGAGGGGAGGAGAAGGACCTGGTGTTTTGTCATGGACACGTGTTGGAAACCCTTGGCAGGGCCTTGGATGTCCGAGGAGGGCACCTCATGCAGCATATGGGAAAAGAAGCCTTAAAAATGGAAAGCGCGTACGCTCTAGGCCCCCCGAAAATCCTGGGCCTGGAAGGGTCGATGAGAGAGAGGGAAACGGCCACACAGGACAGCTTGAGGCAGAGGGAGGCTGCGTTCTGTGCCTGCAGGAGGGCCATGCTTTCACGCCCTGCCACTCAGGTTGGTGGGACACTCTCTTCGGAGAAGGGGCTAGCTCCAGGGTGGGGCAGTTGAGGTCCTAGTGTGCCTGGCACCTGGTCATGCCAGAGGTGAGGACACTTACCCACGTCCGGCAGGGTGGACAGCTGGGCCGCCAGGGGCTCCCACTGGCCAAGTGTGGGTCATTTGGAACATTAAAAAGAGCAATCGATTATTTTGATCGTAAACTAGTACTAAATAAAAATCTGGCTCGAGCCTGTAATCTCAGCACTTTGGGAGGCCAAGGTGGGTGGATCATCTGAGGTTAGGAGTTCAAAACCAGCCCGGCCAACATGGTGAAACCCCATCTCTAATAAAAATACAAAAATTAGCCAGGCGAGGTGACAGGTGCCTGTAATCTCAGCTACTCGGGAGGCTGAGGCAGGATAATCTCTTGAACCTGGAAGGCAAAGGTTGCAGTGAGCCGAGATTGCGCCACTGCACTCCAGCCTGGGCGACAGAGTGAGACTCCACCTCAAAAAAAAAAAGAAAATATCTGTAAGTCCACAGTGACACCAAAGAGAGAGCGAGGGGGAAGAAAGCAAATGTCATTTGTCACCCAGAGATGACATCCTGCGAATCCCTCCCTCTGAAGATTGGCTTTGAAAGGAAAGTGATCACCAGTCACCGGCCTTTTCTAGTTAATGAGGAACAGCTTCTCCTTACAGAAAATGTCAGCTAAGAAGTGTGGCAGGAACAGCCGACTGAGAACGTCTCCAGACACCAGCCCCCTCGGGGAACGGCTGATTCAGGCAGGGGTGAACACTGGCTGCCGAAACCCTGGGGGTGTGTGGGAAAGCCGCGTCTGTGGTGCTGCTGAGCCGGCGACTTGCTCACTGCCAAGGACCCTCACAAAAGAGAGCTCTCAAGGTCACCACCCCCACCAAGCGGTCCATTTGGTGTCCCCACCCATGGGATGATCCACACCGTGGCCTCACATGAGGGCAGCGTGAACCCCCAGATCCTCCACAGGACCCTGCACACGTTTTGACCTGGATGGATCCTCCAGACCAAGGTTGTTGGGGTTTGTTTTGTGTTTGTTTTTTGAGACAGGGTCTCGCTCTGTCGCCCAGGCTGGAGTGCAGTGGTGCGGTCATAACTCACTGCAGCCTCAAATTCCTGGGCTCAAGCGATCCTCCCACCTCAGCCTCCTAAGTAGCTGGAACTGCAGGCATGCACCACCACACCCAGCTAATTTTTTATTTTTAGCAGAGACAGGGTCTCCTCTGTTGTCCAGGCTGGTCACAACCTCTTGGTCTCAAGCAGTCCTTCCATCTCGGCCTCCCAAAGTGCTGGGATTACAGGCATGAGGCACCGTACCTCACCACACTGACTTCCTAACATTGTTTTAATTTGCTAATCTTCTCTGTATTGTTCCAATTTTAGCACACGTATTGTCTAAGTGAGCACATTCTTCACATTTTTATGCCATGGCCCACCTGGCATAAAAATCTGCTGAGCCTATGGACTTCTTCTCAAATGATGTTGACAAATCCGTAAGATAAAACACATCTGATTGCAAAGAAAACCAATTAAAGTGAAAAAGTTATCGAAATATTAAAGTAATATGTTGGCGCATTTAATAACAAGACAGTGCATGCACACATAGGCAGGTTAGAGTTAAATATTGTTTCCTGAAGGGCAGCTGTGTGAAGGCCGTTATGTGGCTGGATAAGAACTCTGCACCATTGGGTGGTCCTTGGTGAGCTCCCTTCGTGTCTGATGAACAAGGGCTGTGGCTGAGGACACCGAGAAGCAACGTCGGCTCCTGAGCTGGCGTGGGAAGGCAGTGTGGGTTTGCGGTGACCAACCAGCCTGGTGCCGGCGGCCACCCATGGGAAGCTGATCCCACCGCTGGGGCACAGTCCAATGACCACTGAGTGACTCCTGGCGGCGACGGCAGTGACAAGCGGGGTTTTCTTTCTTTCTTTCTTTCTTTTTTTTGAGACAGAGTTTCTCTCTGTCGCCCAGGCTGGAGTGCAGTGGCGCCATCTCGGCTCACTGCAAGCTCCGCCTCCCGGGTTCACACCATTCTCCTGCCTCAGCCTCCCGAGTAGCCAGTACTACAGGCGCCCACGACCACGCCCGGCTAATTTTTTGTGTTTTTAGTAGAGACAAGGTTTCACTGTGTTAGCCAGGATGGTCTCGATCTCCTGACCTTGTGATCTGCCCGCCTCAGCCTCCCAAAGTGCTGGAATTACAGGTGTGAGCCACCACGCCCGGCAGACATGCAGGATTTTCTAACAGCCTTCCTGGCATGTGGAAGCAGCTGCGTTTCACGTTGCCTGAGGGTCACAGGCACCGCTGACACTGGGGTTCCCTCTCCACGTCCATCACCCAAAGCAGCACCAAATCCGAGATGGAAGCCGGCAGCCAGGTGACTTCTGTCTCCACGCTGCCGAGACGCCTGCTGTAGACAGCACTGCCTGTTTCAGGAGCACTGGGGAGGGCTGTGCCCTGGGTGTGCCTTCTCTTCCGAGTCAGTGTCCTCAAACTGTCACGGAGGAGGAAAAGTGGGGAGGGCTGGGGGCTTCTGCCACAACAGGGACAAGAAACCCGCGGCCAAGGAGAGCGTGAGTCTTGGCGCTGGTTTGGAAGAACACCGCGTGTGACACGCTGGCTCAGCTGGGAGCCTGAGTGTGGACTGGATATTGGGCTCCAACAGAAAGACACTGCTGTGAATTTCCTCAGTGTGGCGCCAGCACTGTGGCTTTGTGGAGAATGTTCCCGTTTGAGTAGAAGTGTGGTGATAACCTCAGTTGTGTCTGCGGGTAGAGGCCACGGGGTGTGGGGTTCTCCTGTGTGGACTCATCTGATGCCCTGGGGGGTCTGGGAGATCCGAACTATTTTCATGGCAAGACTGAGATGTTCCTCGAGATGTTTTGTTATGGGACTCACATTTGCACTGTCGATGGTACAGAAGCAATGGCAGGTAAAGCCGGGGGTGCCGGCAATTCTGACATGTGGGGACATTACGCTCAAAGAAGCCAGGCACGAGAGCCAAATGCTGTGTGACCCCACTTAGGTCCCTAGAGGAGTCTGACCCACACAGACAGCAGGTGAAGCGTAGGTGCTGGCGGGGGGTGGGGAGGGAGTGTTTCATGGGGACGGAGTTCCAGTTTGGAAAGCTGAAGCAGCTCCGGGGTGGTGAAGTTGCACAGCAATGTGGGTGCTCTTAGTGCCACCGAATGGGACCCCTAAACATGGGCAGGATGGTAAATGTGTATTTTACCACAGTGTGCTTTTAAACTGCTGGTGTCTTAGCACAAATCAAGGCCATGGCCCCAAGCTCTACTAATGGACATCGGATCCTTCATCACCAAACACCTGACGTGCTTGATGGCCTGGAAGTATCAGTTTTATCAAATCTTGACACTTGAGTACAGGTGTTTTGGGGGTGGGGGGGGGCGTTGTTTGTGGTTTCTTTGTTTTTTGAGACAAGGTCTTGCTCTTTCACCCAGGCTGGTGTGATCTCGGCTCACTGCAACCTCCACCTCCTGGGTTCAAGTGATTCTCCTGCCTCAAGCCTGGGATTACAGGCACACGCCACCATGCCCCATCTCTCCATAAAAATTCAGTAGAGCAGTTGCTAGGTTATAGGGTAGTTGTATATTTAGCTTTATAAGAAATTGCCAGATCTTGTATCAAAGGGATTGTACCATTTACACACCCACCTGCAGTGTGCAGCAGGGATTCCAGGGGCCTCCACCACAGCTAAACACCCCATCATTTTAGCTTTAGCCTTTCTGATGACATATCTCATGTGGTTTTAACTTTTATTTCCTCAGTGTCTGATGATGTCAAGCACTGTTTCGCGTGCTTATTGGCCATCTGTGTGCCATCTTTCGTGACGTGCCTGTTCAGATTGTTTGCCCATTTTTAGTTGCCTTGTTTTTCTTTTTATTGACAAATGTGTAGTTTACAAATATTTTTCTCTCAGTCTATGGCTTGTCTATTTATTTTGTAATGATGTCTCTTAATAAGCAGAACTTTTCAATTTTGATGAAGTCCAATATATCCAATTTTCTTTTATGGTTCTTGCTGTGTCCTTTCTTTTGTTCTTTTTTTGAGACAGAGTCACACTCTCTGGAGTGTAGTGGTTTCATCTCGGCTCACCGCAACCTCCACTTCCCAGGTTCAAGGGAGACTCCAGCCTCCGCCTCCCGAGTAGCTGGGATTACAGGTATGCGCCACCACGCCCAGCTAATTTTTGTATTTTTAGTAGAGACGGGGTTTCACCATGTTGGCCAGGCTGGTCTTGAGTGCCTGACTTCAGCTGATCCACCCACTTCGGCCTCCCAATGTGCTGGGATTACAGGTGTGAGCCACCATGCCCAGCCAGCCACAGCACCTGGCCTAATTTTTATATTTTTTGTAGAGTTGAGGTCTTGCTGTTGGCCCAGGCTGGTCTTGAACCACTGGGCTCAAATGATCTGCCTGCCTCAGCCTCCCAAGTAGCTGGGATTATAGGCATGAGCCACCACACCCAGCTAATTTTTGTATTTTTAGTAGAGACGGGGTTTCACCACATTGGCCAGGCTGTTCTCGAACTCTTGACCTCAAATGATCTGCCCACCTCAGCCTCCCAAAGTGCTGGGATTACAGGCGTGAGCCACCACGCCCGGTCATCACTGTATTTTTTTGTTTTGTTTTTAATAATGTTTTAAATTGAGACAGGGTCTGACTCTGTCGTGCCCAGGCTGGAGTGCAGTGGTACTATCTCAGCTCACTGCAACCTCTGCCTCCCAGGCTCAAGCCATCCTTACACCTAAGCCTCTAGAGTAGCTGAGACCACAGATGAATGCCACCACACCTGCCTAATTTTTGTATTTTTTTTTTTTTTTTGGTAGAGATGGGGTCTTGCTATGATGCCCAGGCTAGTCTCGAACTCCTGGGATCAAGCGATCTGCCCGCCTTAGCCTCCCAAAGTGCTGGGATTACAGGCATGAGTCACCGCACCCAGCCAATCACTGTAAAATTTTTTTTTTTTTTTTGAGACGGAGAACTGTTCTGTCGCCCAGGCTGGAGTGCAATGACGCGATCTTGGCTCACTGCAGCCTCTGCCTCCCAGGTTCCAGCGACTCATTCTTTCTGTCTCAGCCTCCCGCGTAGCTGGTGCCGGCTGAGCTTGCTGCGGCCCTCCCTGAACTGCTGCTCAACCGAGACCCCACCCCATACCCCCCACACCCAGATGCATCTCTCTCGGCTTAAGGGCCCTGTGATGTCCCTCCCGTGGGACAGGCTTCCCAGCTGCTTCTGCTCGCCCTGGGGAAGCCCAGGGATGCCTAGGCCTGGAGGGCTGCCTTCTCCAGAGGGCAGCTCAGGATCCGGCCCAGGGATCTGACCCTAGCAGTGGGTGGACACGGCCACCTCACACGGTCACTTCCTGGTCCCCTTCCTGGGCCACCTTGTGCTAATTTGCTGCTTCTCCTTCTCTTCTCCTCTCAGGCTTTAAGCCCCTCCCAATCCTGGACCTCAGCACCCCCAGTTCTGCCCCTCTGTGCAGCCCTAAGTTGGAGGCTGAGGGCAAATGCAGCCCTGTGCCAGGGGAGGGGCGTGGTGGGAGGGCTCCTGTCTCCTCCGGCCTCCCCACGCCCCTTCCTCAGTGTGTCCACAGCGGGTCGGCAGGGTCTGTGCTGGCGCACACAGTGAGCAAACAAGATGAGGGATGGCGGTCACGCTGCAGTCCCCTTAGCACTAGCTTCTGTGATAAAACCCTCTTCTACTAAGTGGTGTAGCCTTTCCACATGAGCGGGAACGTGCGGGACCCACCGTCCTGGCCCTGCAGTCAGAGATGTGGCGCTGGGCGCTGGATTTCCATGAGCGGGAACGTGCGGGACCCGCTGTTCTGGCCGTGCCGTCAGAGCAGACCTGGCGCCGGGTGCTGGATCATGCTCTCCTTGTGTACGGGGCTGTCGAAATTCCTCTCTTCTCGGGTTACCGTATTTGATACCTGCCTTGGCCGGGTTCTCAGCAAGCCGAGCTAGTGCGGGATCCTGCATGGGGACATCTCACTGTGGCCAAGTAAGCCAGTGGGTGGCAGGGGCCACCTCCCTGCTGGGCACCACTGGGTACTGCGGGCAGCTCACTGCTGGTGCCCCTGAGAACCCTGCCAAGAGGCCAAAGGAGCCCCTGAGCCTGGGGACAGCTGCTCCCAGGGCAGGATGGGGAGGGGTGGAGACGGCTGAACCCCCAGTTCCTGATGGACAAAGTTCTGCCCTAACCTCCAGGTGAAGCTCCGGGGGCCAGGAGGTGCAGCGCTGGGTGTGCCTTTGCCAAGCTGATCTCCCCATGGCGGGGCCTGGAGACCCAGGCTGTGAGAGGACACGTGAGAGGGACCCCCATCCCGGAGGGCAGGGCGGTCGCAGGGCCCAGGGAACTTCCGCCCAGAGGCCCCCACCCTCACCTTCTAGACCACATTCCAGGGCCCCAGACAGAGATTTCTCTGCCCAAAGACCCCAGCCGGCCTCTGGGGTCTGCATGAGCCTCTCCCAGGTCCTTCCTCCAAGGGGACCACCCCAGGCCCGAGGGGCAGCCAAGGACAGCTATTTGCTGAGGGCTGTGGTGGTGCCGGAGGGTCCTGGCTAGGAAGAGGAGGCTGCAGGCTGGGGCTGAGGCCGGAGCTCCTGACGCCATCTTCCAGAACCCAACCTAGAGCAGCCCGTTTCCGAGTTCTAACGGGCCTTCCGGGTCTTCGTGGAAATACGCGTGTCCAGTAGGAGGATGGAAAAGATCTCATGAATGGTTTGTTAGCTCATTTAGGACTTTTATGGATTTAGACATAGCCGATGGTCTGCAGCCATTGAGCCATCAGACAGTGGCACCAGCCTCCGTTCCACATGGCCCTGAAAAGCAGCTTGAGAGGCTCTTCCTGGTCTGGAGCTGGAAGAGGTGGAGCCGCACCCACCCGGACTCGATCCAGGGGCCTCTCCCCATTGGGCACGGCGCCTGCAGCGAACACGGGGCACTGTCAGGGAGGCGCTTGATAAACATCCAGGAGGAGGAGGGACCTGCACACATGGAGTGCCTGCTGTGTGCACGCTGATCCCTGCACACATGGAGTGCCTGCTGTGTGCACCCTGCTCGTGTGTCATCTCTTACTCCTCAAAACAACCCTGAAAGGTAAGCATTGTGATTCTGAGGCATTCTCATCCTCACTTTGTTGACGAGAAAACTGGGATGGATTGAATGAAAGCACTGGACAGCCCCTCACTGCTCACAGGCAGGGGCTACTCTGGCCCTTGGCTTCCTGCCCCAGGGATGGGGGTGACACTAAGCATTATGGCCAGGGTGGGGTGCAGGGCTTGGGACGAAGGCCTCCTGAAAGCAGCACAAACACGAGTGTGACTTCCATGATGACCACTTCCATACGCCAACTGCCTGCCTCAGAAAACCTCCAGGATGCACTTAAACACCTATCAATGCAAGGGGCAATGATGTGGAACATAAGTGACTTTGTCTTTGATCACTGGGAGGGCTCATCATTGCCTCTGAGCTTCAGGGGAGTGGCTGTAAACAGCTCGCTAGATACTCTGGACAGAACCACTGATGGAACGTTCCAGTTAAGACAAGATGCTGGAAGATCCAGGTTCCCTGAACTCCACACACAACCAAGCTGTCTAGAAATAGACCCAGCAGTGTGGGTGTGGAAGAGGAGACACTGGCTGGGCTGTGAGTCATCTCCAGCTCTTCAATGCCAACACTTCTAGAAACAGATATTTTGGGTTCCCTTGGAAAGCAGTTTTAAGGAGTCTGACTTGTGACACTGTTGATCCAGCGAGAATCGAGGACCCGGAAGGAAAGCGAGCCTGGCTTCCCCGTCCATCAGCGAGGGGAGAGGAGCCCCCAGCCTCGCTGATGGGACCTGGGTGTGGGGGACAGCCCCACTGCTCTCGGGAACCTTGGGAGCAGGCCAGGTCCCGGTGACAACGAAAGCTGCTGGAAGACCCAGGGCCTTTGGCTGGGGGCCTGTCTGCACAGCCACTCTAGGCTCAGCTTTGCTGTCTCACCACCGAATTAGAAAAGGAGCTGAAATGGGACGAGAACCTCCCAGGGGCAGGGTTTTGCTTTCTGAGGCCTCTGTGGGGCCACAGTTTATCCAAGATGAAGCAGAGGCCAAGGTTACCTGAGGATAGGATGGAGACCAGGGAAGAGGCCTCGGGGACATGGGGTTCACTCCCAGGCCCTGTGGTCAGCAGGCCCAGCCTAAAATCAGCCTGTGAACACCCAACCCTCAGCCGACCTCAGCCCTGACGACCCAACAGGACCTGAGGAGACCTACGAGGACTTGGGCAGGTGTCACTCCCGGCTGCTTCCATCTTGTATGGAAGAGAGCAGAGGCCGGTATACTGTGGCTGCGCCTGGGGTCCCAGCTGCTCGGGAGGCTGAGGCGGGAGGATCACCTGAGCCCGGGAGGTCGAGGCTGCAGTGAGCTATAATCGCACCACTGCACTCCAGCCTGGGCCACAGAGTGACATCCTGTCTCAAAAAAATAAGTAAATAAATAAAAAGGAGCAGAAATAGGAGCTTTGGGGCCTTGAAGATGAGTAGCCAAAGCCACCTGGGTCTGAGGCCGGGGTCCCGTGGGGCAGTGGGTCCGAGCTCCAGCTCAACCACATCTGGAGGGAAGGCCTGGACTTGCTCCTAACTTACAAGAAGCCCCTCTGAGCCGGGCACGGGGGCCCACGCCTGTGATCCCAGCTACTCGGAAGCTGAGGCTGGAGGATCACTTGAGCTCAGGAGTTTGAGTTCAGCCTGGGCAACATAGCAAGACCCCATCTTTTTTTTTTTTTTTTTTGAGATGGAGTCTCGCTCTGTTGCCCAGGCTGGAGTGCAGTGGTGCAATCTCGGCTTACTGCAAGCTCTGCCTCCCGGGTTCACACCATTCTCCTGCCTCAGCCTCCCGAGTAGCTGGGACTACAGGCGCCTGCTACCACGCCCGGCTAATTTTTTGTATGTTTAATGGAGACGGGGTTTCACCGTGTTAGCCAGGATGGTCTCAATCTCCTGACCTCGTGATCCGCCCGCCTTGGCCTCCCGAAGTGCTGGCATTACAGGCGTGAGCCACCACGCCCGGCGCAAGACCCCATCTCTTTTTTTTTTTTTAGCTTAAAACAACATGAATTTATTATCTTATAGTTCTGGAGGTGAGAAATCCAAAATCACAACTACTGGGCTGAAATCAGGGTGTCAATAGGGTTATGTTCCTTCTGGAGGCTATAGGACAGAATCAGTTTCATTGCTTTTTCTATATTCTAGAGGCTGCCTACATTCCTCAGCTCATGGCTCCATCCTTCATTTTCTTTTTTTTATTTTTTTATTTTTTTTTAGTATTTATTGATCATTCTTGGGTGTTTCTCGGAGACGGGGATTTGGCAGGGTCATAGGACAATAGTGGAGGGAAGGTCAGCAGATAAACATGTGAACAGAGGTCTCTGGTTTTCCTAGGCAGAGGACCCTGCGGCCTTCCGCAGTGTTTGTGTCCCTGGGTACTTGAGATTAGGGAGTGGTGATGACTCTTAAGGAGCATGCTGCCTTCAAGCATCTGTTTAACAAAGCACATCTTGCACCGCCCTTAATCCATTTAACCCTGAGTGGACACAGCACATGTTTCAGAGAGCACGGGGTTGGGGGTAAGGTCATAGATTAACAGCATCCCAAGGCAGAATAATTTTTCTTAGTACAGAACAAAATGGAGTCTCCTATGTCTACTTCTTTCTACACAGACACAGTAACAATCTGATTTCTCTTTCTTTTCCCCATATTTCCCCCTTTTCTTTTCGACAAAACCGCCATCGTCATCATGGCCCCTTCTCAATGAGCTGTTGGGTACACCTCCCAGACGGGGTGGTGGTCGGGCAGAGGGGCTCCTCACTTCCCAGACGGGGCGGCCAGGCAGAGGCACCCCCCACCTCCCGTATGGGGCGGCTGGCCGGGCGGGGGCTGCCCCCCACCTCCTGGACGGGGCGGCTGCCGGGCGGAGGGGCTCCTCACTTCCCAGACGGGGCAGCTGCCAGGCGGAGGGGCTCCTCACTTCTCAGACGGGGCGGCCGGGCATAGACACTCCTCACCTCCCAGACGGGGTGGCAGTCGGGCAGAGACACTCTTCAGTTCCCAGACGGGGTCGCAGCCGGGCAGAGGCGCTCCCCACATCCCAGACAGGGCGGTGGGGCAGAGGCGCTCCCCACATCCCAGACGATGGGCGGCCGGGCAGAGACACTTCTCACTTCCTAGACGGGATGGCGGCCGGGAAGAGGCGCTCCTCACTTCCCAGACTGGGCGGCCGGGCAGAGGGGCTCCTCACATCCCAGACGATGGACGGCCAGGCAGAGACGCTCCTCACTTCCCAGACAGGGTGGCGGCCAGGCAGAGGCTACAATCTCAGCACTTTGGAAGGCCAAGGCAGGTGGCTGGGAGGTGGAGGTTGTAGCGAGCCGAGATCACGCCACTGCACTCCAGCCTGGGCAACATTGAGCACTGAGTGAGCGAGACTCCGTCTGCAATCCCGGCACCTCCGGAGGCCGAGGCAGGCAGATCACTTGCGGTCAGGAGCTGGAGACCAGCCCGGCCAACACGGCGAAACCCTGTCTCCACCAAAAAATACGAAAACCAGTCAGGCGTGGCGGCGCGCGCCTGCAATCCCAGGCACTCGGCAGGCTGAGGCAGGAGAATCAGGCAGGGAGGTTGCAGTGAGCCGAGATGGCGGCAGTACAGTCCAGCCTGGGCTCAGCATCAGACGGAGACCGTGGAGAGAGAGGGAGACCGTGGAGAGGGAGAGGGAGAGGGAGAGGGAGAGGGAGAGGGAGAGGGAGAGGGAGAGGACCCCATCACTTAAAAAAAAAATTCTTTTTTTTTTTTTTTCATCAAGCATTTTCTGTAGATTTTTGGAAGAAAATCTTTCTCCTGTTGAGGTCATTGCTTTGTTGAATTTTATTGAATATCAGCTATGAACCAGCGGATACAGGCACATGTCTTTTCTCCTTTAACTGGTGAGACTGGTGCATTATCTGGGTACCTTTTGTAATGTTTTACTAAACCTGAGTTCCTGGGACAAAATCCATTACTTGATTAATTTTGCTAATATTTTCTTTGCTGTTTTGAAAAGTATTTTTCTAATAATTAAGATTGGCCAGTAATTATCCTTTCTTGTAATGTCCTCATTTTTTTGATGTTGAGATTACATTATCTCATAAAATGTGTTGGTCACTTCTTTTCAAAAAGAGAGGCCGGGAGTGATGGGTCACGCTTGTAATCCCAGCACTTTGGGAGGCCAAGGCGGGCGGATCACGAGGTCAAGAGATCGAGACCATCCTGGCCAACATGGTGAAACCCGGTCTCCGCTAAAAATACAAAAATTAGCTGGCAGGGAGGCGCGCGGCTGTAGCCCCAGCTACTCAGGAGGCTGAGACGGGAGAATCGCTTGAACCCGGGAGGCAGAGGTTGCAGTGAGCTGAGATGGCGCCACTGCACTCCAGCCTGGTGACAGAGTGAGAGTCCATGTCAAAAAAAAAAAAAAAGAGAAATGGTGCCTGAGTTCCTGTGACTGCCGTAGTAGCGAATTACACAAACCTGGTGGCTCGAAGTAACAGAAAAGGATTCCCTCGAAGTTCTGATGTCCAGAAGGCTGAAACCAAGGTGTGGGCAGGGCCCCGCTCCTTCCGAAGGCTCCAAGGAGGATCCTTCCTGCCCCTCCCCGCTTCGGGTGACTCTAGGCGTCCCTCGGCTGTGGCTGTGTCACCTTGACCCCTGCCTCTGCCGTCCATGGCCTTCTCCATGTGTCCCTCTGTGGCCTCTCCTCTTCTCATAAGGACACCAGTCATTGGATTTAGGGCCCACCCTAAAACCAGGATGATCACAGACTCTCAATTAATTACACCTGCAAAGACCCTTATTCCAAATAAGGTGGAATTTGGAGGGTGTTCTGCTCAACGTGCTGCAGACAGCAGGAGACACTTAAAAGCTCAGATCGTCATCGCAGTGGTGTTTTTAGGACGGTGCAACCTTCGTGTGCACAGGACATGCTGCTGATGGAAGCAAGTGCGGGTCCTCATCTTTCCAGACATCAGAAGCTGGGCCCGTGTGGGAAACACAGGCTTTGCTTAACCCAGAATTAACTGCAGTCTATGCAGGGGTGCGGCCCCTGCAGGTGTCCCCCGTATCATTCAGGGCTGCCAGCCCAGGCTGCAAAGTCCTCAGGGGTGGGACCCCAGAACTGGACAGGTCTTAGAGGTCACCTTGTCCTCCACACACTTACAGAGGAGGGAACCAAGGCCCAGACAGGCAGGGAGACTTGGCCCAGATCCCAAAGTGGGAGGAGGACGTGGTTCTCGGAGCTGTTCTGACCCCCGAGCTGCTTGAGTCTCTTCAGCAAGCCCCATCCATGTTCATAGCTCCCCACAGTGACAGCCCTGCCTCCCCGGACAGAATCCCAGACACTCTCCTCCCAGCCTCCACTGCCAGGACCCAGGCGTTGGTCAGGCTCAATTCGATGTGCCGTGAGAGGTTTTGATTCAGAACCGTATCCCTGGGGACCAGGCATGAGGCTTCTGCTGTCCTGGTGTGGACAGCACCAGGGGAGGTGGGACCTGAGCCGGTATCTGGGCCCACACAGGAAGGCCGGCTCAGGCACGGTCTGCGTCCCTGCCAGCGTCCCCGTCTTCTACCTGGTGAGTTCACACCCGAGGTCGCAGAATCAAGGCCAGGGCTCAGGCTACCACACTCAACTCTTCCAGGATGCAGTGGCTCCCCGTGGCCTCTCCAGGATGTCCACTGTCCTCTCTGAAGGCTGAGGCCAGCTCAGGACTGCAGAGCCACAGCCTGCTCTCCCTCCCTCCCCTTCTCCCCACCCCCCCCTCCTCTCTCCCCTGGGACTGCACCTCCCCACCCCCATCAAATGTTGGCATGTGGCCACTGGGAACCTGGGCTGAGATGCAGGGTCAAGCCAAATCTACTCCCTCTGGAAAGAACTGTCTTGGTTACAAAGGAAACGGGAAACCAAGGCCCCTTCAATGAGCTCCCTTCTAAATGGAGTTTGATCGATTCTTCTGCCAAGTGAAGGTGCCTGCAAGACTTTGTTCTAACAATCTCCTAACAGTTTTACGCTATTCTATAGAGGACAACCTTCTAGGGGCAAAAGAATGGCTCAGAATTTAATCCATGAAAGGTCGCTGAATATTGGAGACCCTGTGAGCATTTGAATTTGACGAGGAGTTGGGGGAGGGAGAGAGTTCTTTTCAACCAACACAGCCCATGGGGAAAGGGGAGCAAACTCACGAACCATGGCAGAGCCCTCCCACCCAGCTCTGAGTTTTCCTGCTGGAAAACCCCACCACAGCAGGAAAGATGAAGAAAAAAAGACATTGCACTCATGAAACAGGAACAGGAAGCTGTAAAAAAAGAACAAGCAGAGAGCAGAAATGAGCTCTTGGAAATGAAACCTGGGAGGGCAGAAATTTAAAATGCAGGAGGAAGTTCGGACATTCAAGAACATCTCCCAGAAAGCAGAACAAAAGACAAGGCAGTGAATGTTGGGGAGGAAAATAGGAGGAGGAGAAGTTCCACCTTCCAACCGCAGAGCTCAGAGGGAAGAGGGGGTCTAAGACAGAAGGGAGCTCACACAGCACATTCCCGAAGCTGCAGCACTGCTCTGCAGGCTGAGGGGGTCCTTGGTCTGGACAGAGGGTGGAGGCAGACCCCACCCACCAAGCATAAAGCCTCAGGCTTGGAGATCACAGGAAGTGCCTGTGTGGACTTGTGTATGAGTGTGTGCACGTGTATGTGTGTTTGCATGCATGTATGTGTCTGTGTGTGTCTGCATCTGCTTGTGTGTCTATGTGCATATGTGTGCTTGTGTGCGTTTGTGTGCACCTGGAATCTCAGCACTTTGGGAGGCCAAGGCAGGAGGATCACATAAGCTCAGGAGTTTGAGACCAGCCTAGGCAACATTGTGAGACCACAATCTCTACAAAAAAAAAAAAAAAAAAGGTTTTAATTAGCTGGGCATTGCAGTGTGCACCTGTAATCCTAGCTACTCAGGAGGCTAAGGCTGGAGAATCGCTTGAGTCCAGGAGGTTGAGGCTGCAGTAAGCTGAGATTGCGCCACTGCACTCCAGCCTGGGCAATGGAGAAAGACCCTATCTAAAAAAAAAACAAAAACAAAAACAAAAAACACACACAACAGAAAGTTAAAGCTTCCACACTGGAGAAGCTATCCGGGGTGACACAGAGCAGAAAGGAGACCCCAAAAGAGGTAGAGTTGGAGAGGAAGAAGCCAGACTGACAGAGAGACGGACAGACAAGGGCACGGCCCCCACCCAGGCCCGGGGCAGCCCCTGGGGGCCCAGCTCCAGGGTGAGTCCATTTCCTGCACATGCAAGCCCTGCGCACACCCACAGGAGGAACTCTCAGGAGGCCACGCCAATCTGACATCAACAGGGCCCCGCCACCATCGAGGCAGCTTTCATGATTGCCAGCCATGAAACCCGGGAGGAGGCTGCCAGCAGGCTCCAGAGGCAGATGAACCCAGCCCCTGCCCACCTCTCCAGGACACAGCCGTCCTCGGACATGGGCCACCACACCTGCTCCAGCAATCAGCAGGACAGAGACTGAGACCTTGGCCATGGCATGGAGCTGCCGCACAAGGAACACAACAGATGCTGCTAGCGTGCACTGGCACGCATTCTACGTGTACCGAAACCAGCAGGCTACACTCCTGCTCTGATCACAAACACACTGCCTCGCGGAGGGGGCGGACACAATGCTGGCTGCAGCTGAGACGCCCACCGTACCAGGCCTTGCCGAGACTGGGATCCTGGCTGTCCCACCCCAAGCCCACAGGGTCGGTGGGCCTGTCTGTGACACTATGTGGGAGGAGGGCGCCAGGCTGGCTACCCAGTCTAGGGTGGGACCACAGCACTGAGGAGAAGCCCTGGGGATGCCCACTGAGCCTCCTGGTACAGCCCCTCAGAAGCCACTGCCCAGCTAACACACAGCCACCCGGTTTCTGGGGCGGAGCCAGGCCTGGGGCCAGTGCCCTCCTGAGCCGGCACCCAGAGGGCATGCAAAGAGGCCCCAGGGCTGGGCCCCAGGAGAAACACTGACCCTCACAGCCCAGAGGAGGCCTTTGTGTGGGAGGAGCTGCCCTGAGCTGCCTTCGAGCCTCGAAAGGTGTCACCCTCTGGGGCGTCAGACCACAGGCAGCCCCAAGTGTGCTAAATGTGCTTCCCTGGCCCCTCCAGCATCCTCCCTGTGGTCTGTCCTGCCACGCCTGCCTGCTGGTTCCGGCCGGGTGACAGTGGGCACCTGCTGAGCGGGTCTCTGCAGCCACCCTGCACGGCGAACGGCCCGGCCAGTTGAGGTCTCCAGTGGCCTCGCTGTGACCTCAGAACCAGGGACTGGGTCACAGGTCAGGTTGCACCTCCTCGACCCACACAAGGCGGCCACCTGCCCCAAGCCAAGTGTGCCCAGACCTCCGTCCTGAGCTCAGCCTGCAGCAGATGGCGCTCTCTGCTGCCCCCCTTCTTTCCTTGGCCACCCCAACCATGGTCCCCCAGGCTTTGCCTCGTTTGGTGCCCTCAGCCCTCCTCCTAGGCTGGGCCTCCTGCAGGCCATGCAGGAGAGGCCTCTTGTCCACCTGTGCCCTGCAGAGGCACCCCCCACCAGCCCCACAGAGCTGCCGTCCCTGCTGGGGCTGTGGCCAGCTCCGGGGGCACACCCCTCGTGGACAGAGGCTGTCTGGGGCCAGGGGGGTTGGGGAGGGGTGGAGGGGAGGTGGCTGATGGGTCAGTCCCTCCAGCCTGGGTCTGGGAGAACCCACAGCAGGCTTTGTGGGGTGCCTGGTTGCCTCTCACAGGGAAAGTGTCAGAGGGGCAGTTGGGGGTGACTTCCTGGTCAGGGGGAGAGTGGCAGGAGGGCCTATGTCCAGGAGGGGCTATGTCATCCCCTAGCACCTGCTGGGCGGTAGGGACAGGTTTTCTGGCCCCACAAGGGCCACACGCCCAAGGCCAGGACCTGACCTGGGGCCAAATCTCCCCAGTAGCTCCTGTGTCCGTTCACCACCTGGCTGAGCTGGGCTGTGCCCTGGTGGTGGCTGAGGGTCCTGGAGGCGGAAGTGCACAGGGCACAGCAGCTCACCCAGAGATCAGGCCCCGTTAACCCTCAGCAGGAGAGGGAGGCAGGGGCCGGGGCTGCTCCACCCAAAATGCCACCCAAGTGCGGCACGGCCCAGGGTGCGGAAGGGACCTGGTGACCAAGGCCGGCATGTGCCCAGGGTGCGGAGGGGACCAGGTGACCAGGGCCAGCGCGTGAGAATAACATGTGTGACCGACACAGGCAGCTGGAGACAGGAAACGCACAGGGGGTCGGTGTCCCTCAGACAGCAGAGACTGTCACGGGCCGAACTGTGTCCCTCAGACAGCAAGGGACTGTCACGGGCCAAACTGTGTCCCTCAAAAATCCGAACGTGGGAGTCTTAACTCCCCCAGGATCCCAGCTGTGACTGTATTTGGAGGTAGGGTCTTAAGAGAGGAGATTAGATTAAAATTAGATTGTAAATCAGCAAATTGTATCTTAAATATATGATCTTTAAGTGTCACAAATACCTTAATTAAAAAAAAATAATTGAGAAGCCAGAACATGAAAAGTTTTTTAAGTTAAAATAAGGCTATTTGGGTGGACCCCACCCAACCTACCTGTGTTTTTATAAGAGGCAATGAGGACACAGACACACAGGAAAACGGCCCTGTGAGGACACGGGGAGGAGGCGCCAGGTGCCAGCCCAGGAGAGAGGCCTCAGGAGCCAGCCCCACTGCACCCTGGCCTCGGGCCCCAGCCTCCGGGACTGTGGGAGAATCTATGTGGGTTGCTGAAGCCCCAGCCTGTGGTCCTTTGTCACGGCCACCAGAGCAGACTCACACAGCGGCCTCAAAGGATGGGGCCACTTGTTCTCCCCGCCGCCCCCCTGCCCCGCCCACCCCCCTTTCCCCTGCAGCCACGCCCCCTCACCGGCCGCCTCCCGCCCCGCCCACCCACCTTTCCCCTGCAGCCACGCCCTCTCACCGGTCGCCTCCCGCCCCGCCCACCCACCTTTCCCCTGCAGCCACGCCCTCTCACCGGTCGCCCCCCCTCCCCCCCGCCCACCCCCCTTTCCCCTGCTGCCACGCCCTCTCACCGGTCTACACACCCGTGCACCCCTGCAGGGCCTTGGCACTGGCTACTCCTGCCGCCAACCCCACTCTGCCCCAAATATCCACTTGGCTCCCGGCTTTGCCTCTGTCAAATATTTGCCCAAAGAAGCCCTCCCCTGACCGCACACTCGCCCTCCACACGGCCAACCCTTCACCTTGCTCTATCTTCTCCACTGCACTTACTGGGGGCTTCAGGTAGTCTTCCTGCTTCCTTCCTTCCTCCCTCCAAAACAGAGGCTGAGCCCGGCTGTTGCGGACCCTTGCCTGAGGCGAGAGGCAGGAGTAGGACATCATGTGCCAGGCGCAGTGGCTCACACCTCACGAACATTCACCTTGAACAAACCTCATCAAGGTTTTCCCCACATCTCAATGGAAGGGCAGCCCACGGCTGATTGACGGGTTGGAGGGGTGCCCAAAAGACAACCTTCCTGCCCCAGCCAGCCCAACTCCAGGTGCTCCAGGGCTCCCAGTGGGACCAGGCTGTCTCCAGCCAAGCCGACCTCCTGGCCTGGCTCCCTCCCTCTCCGCAGAGTGCCATGATCACCCCACACAGGCCCCAGCACCTCTGACCTAAACCCCAAGGGCCAGAATACGGTGTCACCACCCACCCAACCTGACCCAGGCCGAGGGAGCTGGGAGCAGAAATTCAGGATGCGGAGGTGAGGGGAGCAGAGGCTGGATTCAATTCAGCCGAATTCCAATTGGGAGAAAAGTGAACTCCACCCGGGCTTGCCTGGAAGCCCGTTTCCTTGGGAACCGCAGGGCTGAGAAACAGCCTGGCCAGGGAAAAGGCAGCTCCTGGCGGGCAGCCTGGGGCAGCCATGGGTGTGCAGACCTCGGCCCCTGTGAGCAGCGGAGAGAAAAGGACAGGTGGCACTGGGCTGTGGCTTCTCCGTGTCCAGGAGACCCGAACGGCTCAGAGCCTTCAGGCAAGAGTAGGACATTATGGGTCGGGCGCAGTGGCTCACGCCTGTAGTCCCAGCACTTTGGGAGGCCAAGGCGGGCAGATCATGAGGTCAGGAGTTGGAGACCAGCCTGGCCAACGTGGTGAAACCGTCTCTACTAAAAATATAAAAATTAGCTGGGCATGGTGGCGTGTGCCTGTAATCCCAGCTACTCAGGAGGCTGAGGCAGGAGAATCGCTTGAACCCAGGAGGTGGAGGTTGCAGTGAGCCGAGATCATGCCATTGCACTCCAGCCTGGGCGACAGAGCGAGACTCTCTCTCTCAAAAAAAAAAAAAAAAAGTAGGACACTGTTGTCTGTCCAAGGGAGGGACAGACCCCAGGGCAAGTGGCACAAAGCAGACAGGGTGCCAGGAGGTGCCCAAGGGGTGCCAGGGGCAGGGTGAGGACCTGGTGCTCAGACTCAAAACCTACACTCAGGCTAGCTCCCAGTCGGCCAGCCCAGGAGTCACCCAGGCACACCCTAGGGGAGGGGACGGGGCTGCCTGCTGCCTGAGCCCTTCACTCCCCCGGGGAATGGGACCTGTGCCCCACAGCCTAGGGACAGGGCCACTGGCCTTAGGACAGACCAGGCAGCAGACAGGCCACGGCACCATAAGCCCTATACTCATTCCCCGGCACCACCTGCTCCTGGCCAGGCCCCACACTTGGTCTGGCCTGACCCTGCCCTCAAGTGCCCTGAGGGTGACATGGGGGGCCCAGGGGCTGCTGGGGATGAGGATGAAGCCTGACTGTGAGGCGGGGCAGACTGGGCGGGGGCCTGGGCCTCGCTGGGTCACCTGGGATGTAGGTCAAGGCAAGGAGGGAGGACCTGGAACGCCCCTCCCCTGCCCCTGCCTGGCTCCCCAATGCCCTGGCCATGGGAATCAGGTACTGTGGCACCAGGTGGATGGTCTGGGTGTCCAGGGAGTCTGGGGCCACTTTTGGAATCTGCCAGCCCCTGCCACGTACCAGCGTTTTCGAATCCTCTCACTCTCCGCCAAATCACCCAGAGCAGTTTTCCAGGGACAGGAGAGGGAAGGAGCTGCCCATTGCGCTGCCCCTGGCTCAAGCTCTGAGAGGGGCGTAGGGCTGGGGACAGCGGCCAGGACTCCGGGGCTGTGGGGGCGGGTTCTGGGTGCGTCATGGGGTGCGCCCTGCTGTGCCTGCCCGAGTGCGGGGCCTGACCTGACCAGGTGAGCCCTTCTCTGAGGAAGCTGATGAGGGAGAATTTCTCCTGCTGGCACTGAAGAAGCAAAGTGTGTGGGGGGGGGAGCCTCGGGGAAGGGGGCTGTGGGCACCTCCAGGATCTGAGGGAACCCCAGGAATAGCCCGTGAGAGAAACGGGAGGCCTACAGCCAAGAGTGCATCCTCTAGAAGACAAGGAAGAAAGAAGAATGCACCCTCCCAACAGCCAGGGAGTGTGCGAGAGGCCCAGCCTCCAGTGCCTGGCAGCTTCAGCACCCACTTCAGCCAGGGAGCCCTGGGCAGGCCCAGCCATGCCTCCCAAACCCTCGTCTACGGCTGGGCGCTGACATGCAGTGGTGGTGAAGTCACCAAGTTCAAGGTAATTTGTTGCACAGCACGGGTACTTAATGCAGGAGGGACTCGATAAACATTTAGGCAGGAAAAGAAAGAAGAACAAAGGAGGGAGGGAGGAGCCACCAGGAAGGAAGGAGGGTGACTGCAGAGACCGGCCCTGGGCAGCGGTACCAGGGGCACAGGGAGCCTGGCCCGGCCCATTGTCACTGGAATTCATGCCATGCAGACTTCTACATCAAAGGGAAACAAGGTCAGGAGGGCCGAGGGGTCCACGGCACTCCGCACCCACGGGGCCAGGCTGGCACAACGCCCCAACGCTGCAATCCTGGGAAGAGTCACACGCGCCCTCCCGGGACCCACGTGACCATCAAGGGAGTGTGGAGGACACATCCCTCGGGGGTGACGCCCCTGCAGATGGAGTTTCCCCATCTGTGCCACCCTTGCAAGGCCTGGGAAAGGCTGCGGGGCCAGGCGGCACCGGGCAAGCTGAGTGCCAGGTGGTGGTTGCAACACACCGGGCAAATCTGAAACCATGGGACGGACGAGCTGCACCCCTGGGAAAGAGAACAGAGGAAGGCCGGTTATCAACGTCCTCCTGTGCCTCAGTTTCCAGAAACAAGCCAGACTCAGTGCCTCAGGGAGACCCCGTGTGGCCTCCGGAGAGCACGGGACCCGCCCTTTGTGCAGGTGAGGAAACTGAACCCCAGAGCAGTGAGGGACTGGCCTGGGGACCCTGGGCTCAGCCCTGGGCGCCTTCCCTCTGCCCATCTCAGACGGGCACAGCCAGCACCGCCTCACCCCAACGCGCCTCCAGACTGGCCCTCCAGGGGCCCCCAGGCACAATCCTCTCACTTTCTTCCTCAAGCCCCTGCCTTCCCCCTTCGCACTGTGACCCAGGGGCTGCTAGCAGCTGGGCTGGGCTCCAAAGCTTGAAGCTGCTTCTCCAGGTCTCTTTCCAGGGGGCGGCGGATGGCTGCTCACTCAGGGACGCCAACACCAACAGGAAGGGACCCATGCACGGATCTGACTTCCCTCCCAGGCTCTGCCTTCACTCAATGTCCCTGTGGGGCAGCTGGGGCTCCCGGCCGCCCTCCCCTGCCCACAGCCGTGAGGTTGCTTCCTAGGGTTCTGTTTTCCCCACAGTCGGAACTGAGGTGCTGGGAGGCTCCAGAAGAGGGATGGGGTGGAGCAAGTGGCCTGGAGCCCCCCAGGGCAGACCCCAAAGAGAAGGGTCAGAAGTGCCCTCTGGGGCCTGGGCAGCTGGGGGGAGCCCACAAGCCTGAGACCCTGTGGGAGGGAAGCGCCCCCACCCCGTGGTAAGAAAGGGGCTGGTAGAGGCTCCTATGTGGCTCCCTCTGTCCCCTCCCGACCTCTGGCCAGGCTTGGGATAATCCCTGAGTGGACACAGGCGCCACGATGGGGTCTCGGGGGTGAGGGCTGAGGAGGCTGAGCCTCCAAGGACCCCAGGGTGCCTGTTCCCACTGCACACCCACCAGGGCACAGGGTAGGGATAGTGCCAGGAGGGCCACAGCTGCAGGGTCCATCCCAGGCCGTGGTACACAGGTAGAGGTGGGTGCCAGCCTTCGTGAAGCACCTGCAGAAGCTCCACTCAGGGAGAGAACGAGGCACTCGCCCAAACAGATCCTGGGTCACACGGGGCAGCAAGAGAGGGTGGAGCAAGTGGCCTGGAGCAAAGGGTTGGAGGCCCCGGGGCGGCGCGTTCTCCCCCAAGCCCATTCCAGGGCCATGGGCACCCCCCAGAGGCAGCTGGTGGGACTGCAGCCATGCAGGTCCTAGAGGGCAGGTGACAGGGGACGTGACAGAAGGGGACAAAGGGCCGGCAACATCCCTGGGGGAGGCACAGAGAGGGCCAGACTGCCCTCGGTGGACTGCGGAACCCAGAACCCAACGGCCAATCCTCCCCCTACTCCTCACCCACAGTAAGGGGCCAGGGCTCCATGCAATGAGAACCCACGGGTGATGCCACACGGGGGAGAAGCCACGCGGGGGAGAGGCCATGCAGGGGAGAGGTTACAAGGGGGAGAGGCTGCGGGGTGAGAGGTCACATGGGGCAGAGGCCACGCGGGGGAGAGGCCACGCAGGGGAGAGGTCACATGGGGGAGGCCACGCAGGGGAGAGGTCACATGGGGGAGAGGCCACACAAGGGAGAGGCCATGCAGGGGAGAGGTCACAATGGGGAGAGGCCGCAGGGGGGAGAGGTCACATGGGGCAGAGGCCACGCGGGGGAGAGGCCACGCAGGGGAGAGGTCACATGGGGGAGGACACGCAGGGGAGAGGTCACAAGGGGGAGAGGCCGCAGGGGGAGAGGTCACATGGGGGAGAGGCTACACAGGGGAGAGGCCGCACGCTGGGGAGATGGTCCCTGCGGGAAGACTCCGAGGCAGTCTCCTGCAGCTCCTTCCGGCGAATCCGGTTCAGGAAGTAAAACCAGCCCTGTGTAGAGGTAAGTGATGCTTGTGGGGATAATCTCCGAGCAGCTCACCGCGGCGCTGGCCATTGCCGTTCTCTTCACGGTAGAAGAGTCCATTTGGGGAAAAGGTCCCCATCAGAGATGGAGATGTTCCCTTTCAGACTCCAGGCTATGGCTGTGGGGCCGGCTCCCTACCACGTGGGCTGGGGGCTGGGCACATGCATGCCCACTCCTGGGCCCTCTTCCTGGTAGGCCACAGCACCACACACACTGCAAACCAGGCCTCTTCTTCATCCACCACCACCGTCCAGGCCTCAACATCACCGCGTGGGGTCTTGTGCCCTCTGGGGGAACTTCCGGGCTAATGAGGGGGGACAGTCCCCATTACCGGTCTATCTTTATAAGGCAGTATATGCAACAGTGGAAGTTCTGTGAGACATGTTCCAACCCCGGGGCTGCTGGCAGAACTGTCCCCAAACCCACCCTCGATCCCACGGCCAGGAAGTGGGTCCAAAATTGCCTGGCCAGGTCACACCCCTGCGTGAACCGCCCCACAACACCCAGGGCGCTGCCTGACTTGCCGTCCACCTCTCAGCCCCTCCCCTCACCCCTGCCGCAGCTGCAGGGCCTACCCTCGCCGGGGGCTGCTCCCTGCTTACCTCCCTCGCCCGTGCAATGCCTCTACTTCCCGCAAGGCCTACCGGGAGATGTTACAGGTCACGGTCATATTTGAGCATGAGAAGCTCACGCAGAGAACATTCTGGCTGAGGGAGAGGTCTTGGGGTTCAAGGCTGTTTCTTGGCTCTGCTCAGCCATGCCAGGCAGGAAAATGGGCACCTCTAGTGACCCAGGCTGGCTGAGAGCCTGCAGGGAAGAGCCTTTGGAACGTGAGCCACTGTGGGCTGGCAGGACTGCAACTGGCGTCTCCATCTACTGGTACCGAGGCGAGGAGGAAAAAGCAGGGGGGCCCGGAGACGGCCCCTCTAAGTCTGTAACTCCAGAGCTGCTGCTCAGTCCCCAGAACGTCACCTCCGAGCAGAGCCTGTGACAACTGTCAACTGTGAAGCTGTGGCGTGGGTTGCTACTGAAGCTCTGAAGTCAGCGAGGACACAGCATGTTTGTTCTAGACCGTTTGGCTGCGGGAGGAAGCTGTACATGCACACACTCGCCTCACCACCCTGCGAGTCCACAGGCCCCTCCCCGGAGTCACCTCCAGGTAAAGGGGGCCCTGCGTCGGGACTTGCTCTCTGGGGCGCTGAGATGCTCTACAATGAGCTGTGCTGCAGTGCACGGCCGCCCGACTGTGCACCCGCAACGGGGAACTGAACGCTGCATGAAGTACATCTCCAAGTTGTTCTTTAAGAAGGCTTAGGGTCCCTGGAAGACCCTCGCCCACACCCAGCGTGGAGCGTTGTTGCTCACGTGGCCACACCTCTCGGGATGGCCGTGGGTCTCCGTGATGGGTGAGTCAAGAAGTTTCTTTTCTTCCTCCTTGTGGGCTTCAAATGGGGAGGTGGGGTGCTGCCACTTGCCAGGTCAGCCTCTGAGCTTGGAAGAGGAGCATCCAGGAGACCCCCGCTCACCAGGCACCCCTGAGCTCCCTCAAGCTCCCTCGGGAGCCTCAGACAGGGCCAACAAGGGCAGAGCTGCACCGTAGGGGCGGGGGGCCACGGCGGCCCAGGCTGGGTGAAGAGCGGGTGTCCTGGTGTCAGAGCCCCACAGGAACCGGGGGCCCTGCAGGAGGTGGCGCAGCTGGGTGTGAAAGCAGGTGACCAGGCAGGAGGGTTCCCGCGGGGGTGGCAGAGCCGAAGGTGAGGAGGGCACCCACGCGGGAAGGGGCGCAGCACCCACTCCGGGCCTCGGTTCTGCATGAAGTGAGTATCGGGGGTAATGTAAGCCAGAGTTCCTTCGGCAAAGGGAGGTTCAAACACAGAAGGGAAACCCTAGAATACACCCTGGGTGTCCATCACAGCTGGAGGCACCGCCTCTCCCAGAGGTCAACTCCTAACACGAGTGGGGCAGGCATAGGCAGCCGATAAGACAGTGAGCGGCCAACGCTGCAGCAGACCCCGGCACCCAGCTTCGGGTGGAGCGCCCCGATGTTCCTGAGGGTGTTTCCAGGATGAGGCTGATTTGAATCGGTGGACTAAGGAAAGCAGGTGGGCCTCTGCAGAGGGGGCCTCATCCAGTCTGCCTGGTCAAGGACTTAAAAGACCGGGGTCCCCGCCCCTGAGGACGTTCCGGGGTCTCCAGCCGGCCGCCTGCCCTGCAGAACTCCCAACTGCCAGCCCCAGTCCTGTGAGCCGACTCCTCACAACAAACAGGGCACTCTCCCCTCCGCCACCACCACACACACACGCCTGCTATGGACAGGACTGTATCCCCTGACAAGCACATGTTGAAGCCCTAACTCCCCGTGTGACTGGAGATGGGGCCTCTAAGGAGGTGACCAGGGTTAAATGAGATCACAGGGCTGGGCCCCAGTCCAACCTTCCTGACATCCTTGTAAGGGAGGTCAGGACGGCCCGGCGCAGTGGCTCACGCCTGTAATCCCAGCACTTTGGGAGGCTGAGGCAGGAGGATCATGAGGTCAGGAGTTCAAGACCAGCCTGATCAACATGGTGAAACCCCATCTCTACTAAAAATACAAAAATTAGCCAGGCGTGGTGGCACACACCTGTAATCCCAGTTACTCAGGGGCTGAGGCAGGAGAATCGCTTGAACCTGGGAGGCGGAGATTGCAGTGAGCTGAGATGGTGCCCCTGCACTCCAGCCTGGGCGACAGAGCGACACTTTTTCTCCAAAAAAAAATAAATATGGTCAGGACACCGTGAGAAGGTGGCCACTGATTAAGATAAGCCAAGGAGGGGGCCCAGGAAAAGCAACTCTGCCGACACTCCCTCGGAATCCTCCAGAACGGAAACTCACCCTCCCAGGCCTAAGCTGCCCAGTCCCTACTATTTTGTTCTCGCAGCTGGAGTGGACAGACACAAAACCCATTCATTGGTTCTGTTTTTTCTGAAGACCTTAATCTAGACAGATGGAGGGTGGCTGGCGGGACAGGTAGAGAACAGGCATGCGCTGTGCACACACTGCCCCAGCTCTGCCAGCTGAGAACACCTGTGAACAATGAGATCGGAATAGCAAGGGCCCAGCCAGATCGGCTTCTAAACACCACCCTCCCCTCACAGGAGCTAGAGATCTTCAGAGAAATGAGAGAATCTGAACAGGGCCCTAGGGCTGCAAACGACTTCACTGAGACAACCAAGGACTGAGGGTTCGAGGGTTGGACACAGTGAGGTATCCACGCTAATTCCCTGATTTTTCCTGGTTTGAGACGGGGTCTTGATGTTGCCCAGGCTCACTCAAATTCATGGGCCCAAGCGATCCTCCCGCCTTGGCCTCCAGGGTAGCTGGGACTACACACATGCCACCACACCTGGCTCTAGCTCCCTCTGTGACCACTGTGCTGTGGTTAAGGGAATGTCTCTGTAGGAGGAAATGGGCCACAAAGTATCCAGGGTGCTGGGGCACCAAGTCAGGAAATGCTCTCAAAAGGCTCGGGGGAGAAATGCTGTGTGTCTGCAATGTTTCTGTAAGGTTGAGAGATTGTTTTTCCAGGAAAAAGCAACATCATCCTCATCCCAGCCCTGTGCTGTTACTCCCACTCCACAGGCAGGCGAGTGGAACCACAGGTGCTTCCCGTCCTGGTCACAAAGTCAGAGTGGCTGGGCCAAGTGTCCTGAGAAGAGTCACCTCCTGGGATCCCATCAGCCTGGCCATAGCAGAACACCCAGACAGGGGCCCATCCCCGAGGCTCAACTCAACGCATGCAGCCACTGTAGAAAAGTCTGGAAAGTAGTTCTTCAACCGACTAGACATGGTGAGCCCAAAACCCAGCCATGACACTCCTAGGCATCTGCCCCAGAGGAATGAAAGCATCCATCCCCTGCAAACTCATCCTTACACAGCAGCGTGACTCAAGACGGCCAAAGGCGGAAACACCCCAAACGTCCATCAGTGGACAAACGGGCAGATGCAATGCACTGTCTGTACCGTGGGATGTCACTCAGCCATATGAAGGAAAGACTCCAGTGTGGATGAGCCCTGGAACCACGGTGCTGCGTGATCCCGTAACACATGGCCAGAACAGACACGGCCCGGAACCTGAGGCCGGGAGGATGCGTGCAGGTGGCGGGGAGACAGAGGGGCGATGGCCCAGTTTCTTTTGGGCTGAAAATGGTCTAAAGTTGACTGTGGTGATGGCTGTACAACTTTGAATATGCTGAAAACTCGAATTACACACTTCAGTTGGGCGAACTGTACTCCATGTGAATTACCTCTCGATGGTTCTCTCCTGGGCTCAGGCGCTTCTCCCACCTTGGCCTCCTGAGTAGCTGGAACTACCATTCATGTGCGGAAATAAAACAACTCGGTCTCAAAAAAAACTCAACTCAAAACTCAGTCTCAAAAATAAAAAAATAAAAAAGTAAAAGAGGCTACCAATAGGAGAGGAATTCAGTCATTCATGTCATAAGCACAATGCGGTTATTTAAAACAATTCTGAATATGGGGAAACGTGCACCCAGCAGGGCCTGGAAACAGCCAGAGCGTGACAGTGCCGGCGCAGCCATGAAAAACCCCTCCCTGTGAACACACATGTGAAAGAAGATGCAAAGTCACTGTGGCTTCCAGTTTCACAACTGCAATTCGGCATCTCTAATTTGCTTTTTTCCAGAAACTTCTGTTAGCATGGTTGTTTCCTTAGCTTTTGACCAAAGAAACTTCAAAAACAAGAAAGCGTTATAATGCACCCCGTTCCCTTCCAAAGGCCTCCAACTGCAGGGGCTCGTCCCAACAGGCCCTGCTGGGGGTAAAGAGGCCAGGCCCAGGGGAACACTGACCAGGCCCAGGGGACACTGCCCAGACCTGACGCTCGCCACCGGCAGTTTACGTTAGACACGCTTGTCTTTTTTTTTTTTTTTTTGAAACAGAGTTTCCCTCTCGTTGCCCAGGCTGGAGTGCAATGGCGTGATCTTAGCTCACCACAACCTCTGCCTCCCAGGTTCAAGCAATTCTCCTGCCTCAGCCTCCCGAGTAGCTGGGATTACAGGCATGTGCCACCACGCCTGGCTAATTTTGTATTTTAGTAGAGATGGGGTTTCTCCATGTTGGTCAGTCTGGTCTCAAACTCCTGACCTCAGGTGATCTGGCCACCTCGGCCTCCCAAAGTGCTGGGATTACAGGTGTGAGCCACTGTGCCTGGCCACGCTTGTCTTTTTAAGTTCCTTTGGGGAAAGAACCCTAACCCCTAGAACAGGGGCCCTGGCCTTCCCTCTCCTTGGCCCCTAACTGTGCCCTAAGCCTGCCCCGGCCGCCCAGCTGAGTGGGACTGAAGGAGGTGTCACCAGGTGCCACCTGCCCGGGGTTGGGGGACACTCGAATGCAGCAGGGCTTTGGGGAACCGGATGCAGTCCAGGGTCTGCACAAGGCCAGCCACAGCCTAGAGGTCCTTCCTGGTCCCAGGCCCACTCCAAGCCCTGGCCTCTCGCTGGATCCCACACGGCCTGGCTGGCTGGGCACCCATGGAACAGAAGATGCGGGCAAAACCCAACGCAGCGGCCCCTTGTCACCTATGCAGGCTGTGGCCACAGCGCTGGCGGCAGACAGGCCCTTGTTCCATGCAGGTGGAAAGCCCTGGGCTACTGTCAGCTCTCCGTCGCCACAGTGGGGACCCGCCACCTCCCTCACAGGCTCCAGCAGGTGTGAAGGGGAGAGGGGCAGGGAGGACGCTGAGGGTGACCTGGCTGAGGGAAAGAGGTGCGCAGCCTGCGGACCCGCGGGTACCCAGGATGGCGGGGCGCTCCTGCCTCCAGGAACAAGGCTCTCGCGGAAGCCAGGTCTTCCCACCACACACACGCTCACCCCGGGCAATCCAGGCCTTACTGGAGCTGAATTCCTTGCACAACTCTAGACCCCAGATTGAGGGGGAAGCAAAAGAGCCCCGTCCAGACAGCCCTGTTAACACCTGGGCAGTTCTGTGAAAGGAGAAATGTCTTGCAAGATTTTTCCACAAACATGAATATAAACCACCACACTGCTCGGAGGCTGGCGCCTGCCACCTCCCACACGTCCGTAGGACACACCTGAAGCGACACTTCCCCTGGCAAGGGCTGCGCGGCATTTTATTTTCTGAACCCCCCACAGCAGGGGCGGCCAGTCCTGCTGCAGGCAGAGTTTCAGTCTTCGGAGTTTGACCTTCTGGCCCAAGGTCATCACAGCCACAGGCGGAGGCTCTGGGGAAAGGTCCAGTTCCTGGGATGCTGGCCCCTAATGATGGGCCCATCTCTCCAGTGCCGCCCTTCCCTCCCGCCTGGCACAGGAGTTCTGGAGCCACGGTCCTGAGTCTACAGAACAGCCCGGTCAGCCTCGTCCCGCGGTGCAAGCGAGGCCTGGCCTCCCTCCCTGCCTGTCCTTGGCCCGGCCACATCACTCCCTGCGTTTCTTCTTCTTCTCCGGCTCCTGGACATTGGCCGCCTTTGCTCGGGCACTGGTCAGGGGCCGAGGTGTCCTCCTTCTCTGGCGAGCCCCTCTCTGGCCACGGCCCCTGGGCTGATCTCGGAGCAGGGCCCGCTCAGCTGTGCCTGGCTGCTCACCAGCCTCTGCCCGCGCCTCGGGGTCGGCCCCTACACCCCTCCTCCTGCTCCTCTTCCTCTCCATGCCCGGGCTCGGGGGCTCCTTCTCACCTTTCCCTGACAAAACAGCAAGACCCCATGAGCCAGAGAATGCCAACACGGGCTCTTTCCACTTACTCCAACTCAGGCTGAGGATGCCAGCACCACAGACCTGGGAGGACAACACGGCCACAACAGCCAGCCAGACGCATCCCGTGTCCAGTGTGGGCGCCAAGCTCCATCCACACGGCTCAGGACCTCAGCAAGGGCTGACCTCAGAAGGACCAGCGTGAGGACAGGGTCATGAGACCCAGGAGCAAAGGCACAGAGGAGTAGGCAGGACTGGGCTCAAGGCAGAAGGGGAGGTGGAAGAACAGGACGCCAGGCAGTGCCAGGTCCTGAACGCCAGGGCCGACAGGGTTCACACAGCCAAGGGCCGGCTACAAAGAGGAGGCCACTGCCTCATGGGAAATGAGATGGACGGCTTCAATGGCACGGAGCTCTGGGCAAGGGAAGGGGTGAATCCCTAGGCCCTGGGGCCAGTTTAGCATGGAGAGAGTAACAGGGAAGGCTTCCCAGTGTGGGGCAAAGCCACCATGTGCCTCCTCTGCACCCCATTCTTGCCATGGGCCCCCTGCCCTGCCCGGCACTGTGCTCAACCCCCTCCACTGCAGGTAGGCAGCTCCAGGCCCTGAGTGGTCTGCCGCGGACCCAGGGTTGCCCCTGGTGAGGGCATCACATGCCAACCACACTCGTGTGGCCAGAGGCCCAACACGGAAGGCAGCCCCAGAAATCAAGGACAGAAGTGGAGGGAAGAAGTGGAGGGAAGAAGGGGAAGGAAGACGTGGAGAGACTCAGGAATCTCTGGAGGGTGCGGGAGAGGAGCGGACGGGGCTTGGATCTAAGACGGAGGCACGGAAGGAGGCAGCCCAGCCAGGAGGATGTCTCCAGACCGGGAGGGAGGGCAGCGCACACAGCTCGGGGGAGCTGCAGACAAGGAAGGTGGGTGGGGGAGGCAGGGAGAGGCCTACAGGAGGGATGCCGAGGACAGGGCATTTCCGGGATGCGTGGATAGCAGGCACCCAGGATGGGGGACTCGGCACTCATGCTTCAGGGGGAGACACTGCAGGTGACCCCCATCCAGGGGAGAAGCAAGCAGGTGAGGACGCCGGCTCCATGACTAACACACCCCCTAGTCCTACCTCTCTCCTGCTGCAACCTGAGCAGACGCTTCTGCTTCTTCGTCTTCTTCTGCCGCCTCCCTTCAAGCAGGCGCCTGCAGGCCTTCTCTGGGATCTCATCTTCAGGGAAAATGCCTGAGAACCAGGGCAGAAGTCAGGGGGCTCTCGGGGGCTGGGGACTTATGGTTTGAGGCTCGCTGCTTCCAGCAGGCCCCAGCCAGCACCACCTCCTGACAATGTGTGTGAGAAAGCGCCCTGTTCTAATGCCCAGGAGCAGCGTGTTCAGTACCCGCCACAGCTGAAACGAACCAGCTGAGACCCAAGCCCATCTGGAAAAGCCAGTTCCTGGAGCATCCAGGACACAGGTACAGCATAGAGCGTCCACGACCCCAAATGCCTGGGACCAGCAGTGCTTTGAATGTCAGGTTGTTTTGGAACGTCTGCATCATATTCACCAGTTCAACAGCCCTCACCTGAAAACCCCAAACAGAAAACACTGCGACGAGCATTTCCCTGGAGCTTCCTGTCAGCACTCAGCTTTGGACTTGGTGGCATTTTGGATTTGGGGTTTCAGATTAGAGACGCTCAACCTGTACACCAAAGTCTACAGCCTACAATGCTCATGCTGGCGGCCCAAGGCAACTTTCTGCATCAAAACCTGCCAGATGCACACGATCCTCACGCACCTCACTGACGCGCGCTGTCCCGAAAACCCCAGACGACCAGCCGGGCAACACAGCGAAACCCTGTCTCTACAAAAAATACAACAATTAGCCGGCGTGGTGGCGTGCGCCTGTGGTCCCAGCGACTGGGAGGCTGAGGCGGGAGGATCGCTTGAGACCAGGAGATCGAGGCTGCAGTGAGCTGCATCACACCACTGCACGCCATCCTGGGCAACAGAGCGAGACACCGCCTCAAAAAATAAAAAATAAAAAAACCAAACCCTGGACTACAGCTGATGACGCGCCCGCTGGCGGATGCAGGGGTGTGATGCTGGGATAGAGGAGCTTCACGCAAGGACAGGAAGTGCTGATGCTGGAGGCCGGCAGGGACACGCAGACATCCACTATAAAATCCTTCCAACTGAGTTGCAGGTCTGAAACTTTTCATAAGGAAACACCAGGGGAAACGCCTACGTCTCTAACCATCGACGCCCACTAGGAAACCGTCCTTCCGATAACCTATGCCAGTTCCATCCGCCACGCGCTGCCAAGAACAGACGTGTGCTGCCCAACAGACCAGCAGCAGCACCGCGGTCAGTGCTTGGGAGCCCCTGAGGCCAGCACCCCATCTCTCAGGCTCTGGGGCACTCCAATGGACACTCAAGTCTGAGAACCACTCAGCAAAAACCACAAAAACGAGAGCTGTGGAACCCTGCGCCCTGCCTCCCTGTCCCTCAGAAACACCACCAGGCCTCTCTGCAAAGAGACTCCACGTGCTATGAGACCCCTAGAACCAAACCACTCCCACGAGGATGGAGCTCCACCTCCAAGGTGGTGCCACTGTCAGTGCCCGGCCGATCCTCACCTCCTGCCAGGTCCTGCAGCCTGAAAGAGTAAGACAGATACCCACTTACCACAGCTGCGGCTTCCGCAGGAGGAGGAAGCTCCAGCTAGAGCGGCTGCAGGTTCCTAGCCAGGGGAACCCCAGGGGCTGGGGACGGTCTCAGGGTCCTAGCGGGGATCACCCCGGGGGCTGCGGAAGGGCCCAGGACAAGGCAAAGGCACCCAGATCTGAGCAAGAAAGGGCAACTCCAAGGGGAGCAGGGAGGACGCAGCGCCCTCACACACTCACTTCCGGATCACTTTGTAGAGACGCTTTCTGTTCTGAGAAGGGGTGCTCTGGCGGCTGGCCATTTCAAACAGTCTGTTAGCAACTGCCTCGTAGTCAAACTGTTTCAAAAGAGAGACGTCACAGAGGCAAGGTCAGCCACGCTCTGCGTGCTCCGAGAACGTGGAACCCCTGAGACCCAGATAGCACTTGGTCCCACTTGCAGGTTCTCCACCCGGCTCACAGGAACACAGCCCACCCTCACTGAGGGTCCTGCAGCTCCACCCACTCTACAGCACAGCGGGCACCACACAAGCTGCGGGCGCACTGCGGGGCACGCACTGCGGGGCACACTCTGGAAGATGCACACTGCGGGGCACACTGCAGGGCACACGCCCGCCGGTAGCCTGCCTGCAGCTTTACCACTCTAGGAACCACACAGACAAGCACGAACAACATAGGTTAAATTGATCAATTTTAACCCAAGATAGCCACATTTTATTCAGTCTGCAGATAATCATATTTAAAACTTAAAACATTTAAGTTTCCAATTTGCCTGAAGTCAGACCCCACTGGCTGAGTGGATTCCTCGCTGGGACCCACAGGCCAGCCGCTTGGCACATGCCATCTCATTCCCCACCAGCACCCCAACGAGGGGGCCGCAGGAAATCTGGGGGGCTGCCCATGTGTGAGGCAAGAGGACAGCGTGAGGTGAGGCCAGCCCTGGATAATGCAGTTCTGCCTGAGCCCACCCTCCCAGGCCCCAGCCCCACTTTCCCAGGCCCCAGCCCCACTCTCAATGATCCCACTCGTCTACAGGCGGGCAGGGTTGGGGCACCCATCCCTCCTTCAAAGCTAACCCCTGTCCGGGTAACTCTCCATGCCAACAGCTGCCATCCTCCCTCCTAACGCCCCCCTCCTCTTCCAGAGCAAGCGGTAGCACAGAGGGGCAAAGGCTGAGGGCACAGCCATGAGCCCAGGGAACCCACCTGGAGAACGGGGCCGCCACTGTCCCTGTCGTCACCTGCCTGCTCCTCACCAGCCTCAGGTTCAGCCCTGCAGATGGAGCCTGGAACAAAAGGGACCCCGTGAACCCTACCTGTGCCCAACGTGTGCTGGCCCCAAACATCCAGGAATGGAGAGCCCGCTCCGTGCACCCTGGTCGGAGCACGGGCACAGGCGGGAAACACCCGGGAACGGACAGCCCACCCTGCACCCTGGTCAGAACATGGGCACAGGCGGGAAAGCCCACAGCTCAAGGCAGATACTAGGTGCCATGTGACCTCTAATCTCGTATGGACAGGATGAGAGGTGCCACCTCAGGCCTGCAAAGGAAAAAAAGATGTCCCAGGGCACAGGTGCCTACACAGCCCTGAGTGGCTGACTACAAGCTGGCATCTTGGGCAACAAAGGCCATGTCAAAAGTTCTGGAAGTGAGGAGCCTCAGGGTGGCCTGGTCCAGAAGCTGTGGGAGCTGATGTTTCGGCTGGGTGCTCGAGCTAGGCTGGGCATTTGGGGCTTTGATGGCACTGTCTGCAGAAGAAAGGTTTTTGGGCAACAGGCAGCTGTGGGGCAGCATGTGACAAGGGTCTGCTCTGTAGCTGGCAGCAGGGGGCCAGCAGCAGGCACTAGCGGACCTGCCAGGCACCTCAGCTACTGAGAGAGAAGGGCAAGGCAGAGACCAGGGAGAAGCATACAGGGTGGCCGGGCCAAGTGCTGGGGGCGGTGGGGAGGGGGTCTTCTGATTAGGAAGCCAAGGGGAACAGTGGCCACAGCACTGATTTGGGGCATACTGGGGTCCTGAGCGTGGTCAAAGACATGCCCTCCACAGCACCAGGATGCCACACTTAGAGCTCAGACCACCCAGCAGGCTCGGACAATGAGTGCAGCATCAAAACAAAAAATGGGCCAGGCTGGACCCCACGGCTGCCCACAGAGGCCTCTGGCAGGCAGTGAGGGGCAGGTGAGTACACCTGCCCCTCACACACACTGCACACAGAGCAGTCAGGTGCCCTGAGGTCTCAGGCCTGAACCCAGTCATGGTCAATATGGACAGAGCTTGCTGTCCTCTGGGGAGACGGGCCAGGAACGAGGAACACGAGGAGCAAGTGATTCACATCCCGTGCCACAGAGTGACGCTATGGGGAGGACTGCGTTGGGGGCTGGGAGAGGCCAGGAGGCTGAAAGAGTCCAGCCCCAGAGAGTGATGGGGGGAGAGACGGTGGGAGGGACGGAGAGACTCGGCACCAAGGCAGGAACGAGTCTAGGGGGCCAACTGAGCCAGAGGCATGCGTTAGACCGAGGAGCCCAGGGGTCCGGAGAGGGCGTGGAGCACATCAGAGGCTGGGGGATGAGGGGAAACGACGTGTGCTTGGTGCCCACAGAAGTCACTCTGGCTTCTATGCTGAGGATGGACTGTGGAGAGGGGCAGAGACAAGGGGACCAGGTAGGAGGTGGCAGGAGCAACCCAGCAGGAGATCGCACTGGCTCAGCCCAGGACAGGCCCCGAGGAGAAGCCAGGCGCAGTGTGACCCCCACCTGCGGGCGGCTTCTCAGACCTCTTCTGGGACAGCGCGTCTCCACGCTCACCACCCTCAGAGGACTCATCACTGTCCGACGCCACCTCCTCATCCTGTGTGTCCAGTTCATTCAGGAGGTCTTCAATGGCAAGCGGGGCCTGCTCCACAATCGTCTCAAAGATGCCTCGAGTGATGTTGTTCAAAACCAAGGAACTGAGGGGCAGAGCAGAGGCCGGTGAGCAGGCCCGTTATGCTGGATTCCCAAGCGGAAGCCGCCGACTCCCCTGCAACCTCTCCCCACCCACACGGCCAGCGGCCACTCTGAGACAGATTCATCCCTCGAGGGAGCAGCACCCCCACAACAGCAGCCCCATGGAAGAACTCAGTGAAGGAGTCGGGCCCGATCAGGCCACCCACCACTTACTCCTTGGTCCGGGCAGCAATTCTGCAGAAGGGGTCGATGAACTTCAGGTTCTGGTCTGCCGTAAGCTACGGGGAAAGCCAGCGGGAGCTCAGTTCCTCCTCCACAAACGCCCAGCTCCACCGCCCCGTCGGAGCCCAGCCTCACCTCCTCGGCGCCCACTTTGGTCAGCTCCTCCAGGAAGATCTCGATGAAGTGGCTCTTCACACCGTTGGGGGCCTGGCTGCTGGGGTGCAGGATCTCAGTCATCAGCAGCTCTAGCAGCTCCTCGATCTGTCTGAGGAAAGAAAAAGCAAACATGACAGGCAGCCTCGATGAGCCCCAAGACAGCCGTGCCCCCCACTCTCCCATGGTTACACGCTCTGATGGGAACCTAAGTGCGGGCAGGCGCCACTGTCTGCAAACATGCCAGCCTTAAAGTCCACGCAGATGATATCAACGATCCTAGGTCTCCTCCAGCGCAAGGCAGTCTTGCAGTTAGGGAGTTATGTGACCAGCACCACCACCAGAACGTATGGCCTGAGTGTGCATGTCAGCTACAAAATGCAGCACGTGTAAACATTCAGACAGGCCTTCCCTCTGTCCTCAAGATTGCTAGCAGAGAGAAAGGCTTGGCTGAGACGAGACGCCCTGCCTGGTGTTCCTCTCCACTGCCTCCACTGGGTACCGCTGGGGAAGACACGTCAGGACAGCACAGGCAGAGAAAGGAAGGTGGAGGCCCAGAAAGGGGCCGAGGACCATGAGCCACCTGCTGGCTTCCTGGGCCCTGCCGCACGACGCATTCCAACTGTGACGTCCACCAGAGCTCTCCCTGGCAGGCGGGTTTGATGGCATCACAGGCCCTGGATCTGAAGACTAGACAGCCCCAGAGAATAATGTGTAGCACCTACATGCATCTGGACCTCCTGGGGTGCTTAATAACGCAGCTGCCTAACTCAGATCTGTAAACTGTGTGATCCTTAGGAAGCTCCGTAGCAAGGCTGGAGAATCACTCGTGATGGAAAGGAAAAGTGATGCTCTCTAAGGCTCAGGAAAAACGAGACAGAGGCAAGAACAGGTGCTGAGACCAAGAGGAAGACACACAGATGCAAGGGACCGACTTCCCAGGCCAGTGGCAATGGCGTGGATATTAATGACAGCCTGGTTATGCCTGCAGGAGATCCAAGAGGGCGGGAAGAGCGGACCCCACTGTCAGCACTGGGACCGCAGCAGGCATTGGGGGAAGGCACCGAGGTCTTCCACATGATTCCTGTGCTGAATTCTCAGTTACAGGGAGAAAAGTACTCTTGTAATAATATGCCAAAAAAAGTTAACACAAGTAAAATCATCCCTTTAACATTTAATTCAGCTTAAGCCATGAGACCCCTATGGGGTAATCCACAATGCTAAGGCCCAGAATGAATGAGACTCCTGGCATCAGAGTCCTGCCAGGGAATAGAAGAATGAAAATCCCTCCAAACCAGAGGCACCGCTGCCCTAAATGCAAAATCACCCATGCAACTCAAACCTAGAGAAACTCAGCAGCCACAGTTCAATTCCTGCTGATTCTTTAAAAAAAAAAAACAAAAAACCAGAATCTCACTCTATCACCTAGGCTAGAGTGCAGTGGCTCAGTCACAGATCACTGCAGCCTCAAACTCCTGGGCTCAAGAGATCCCCTTAACCCACCATAACCAGCCTGCTAATTCTTTTCTATGCATTTATCTAATTTTTGTACTTTTAGTAGAGACACGGTTTCACCATGGTGGCCAGGATGGTCTCGATCTCTTGACCTTGTGATCTGCCCGCCTCGGCCTCCCAAAGTGCTGGGATTACAGATGTGAGCCACCGCGCCCAGCCAATTTACATATTTTTAGAATTAGGAGCAATTAACATTGCTTACAACTTGGGAGGCCTAGGCAGGCAGATTGTTTGAGCCCAAGAGTTTGAGACAAGCCTGGGCAACAGGACAGAACTCGTCTCTACCAAAAAAAGATACAAAAATTACGTGGGCCTGGTGGTGCACATCTGCAGTCCCAGCCAGTTGGGCGGCTGAGGCAGGAGGATCACTTGAGCCCGGGAGGTCAAGGCTGTAGTTGAGCCAAGATCACGCCACTGCACTCCAGCCTAGGCAACAGTGACACCTATTTCAAAAAAACAAAAAGCATTGCTAATGAAGCGGAACATGCCGTGTTTTTATAAGAAGCTCCTCGGCTGGACACCCTTTCATTAAAAAACTCCCTTCTGACTCCCAGTGAGAACTGGCCTCCAAGCCTGAGGATAAATGGCATCATTTCCACAAACACACAAACTGATTTTTACTTTAAAAACTATCTTCTCTCTAAGCACGATTGGGGGCATGCGTTAATATAAAGGCTGACATCTCCTTATGGCAAAGAATCAAATGACAAACACGACTGCGGTCCCCGAGAACAGCGTCCCCCCAGAGCAGGCCCGCCGCGCACCCACCTTTCTTCCCAGCCTTGCATCTTCAGAACCTTCAAGGACTCGTTCAGGACCATCCGCATGAGCTTTGACACAGAAGGAGGTTGGCATTAGCAGAAGCCCAGCCCTACTTCGCCAGACCACCCATCCCCATGTACCACCATCCGCTGCAGGATAAAGTCATGGCCGTGGTGACCTCTGCCGGCCCCAGCACACAGCCGGCCCCCAGAGCTGCTGACAGACAGACGCTGGAGGACACACCACCAAGCCCTCAGAACCCTGGGCTGAGAACATGCCCTATCCCCGGCTCCAAGGCCCCAGCTGGCAGGAAGCAGGTGCATGGGGGGTCGGGGGTAATAGGGGACAGTCCTACGACTCCAGTCCATAAACCGGGGCTGAAACGGAACAGTCCGATTCATAAGGGAGAACCAGGAAAGAGGCACGGCTACCCCCACGGGCGGTGGAGCCCTCCGCAAAACCAGGTCTGAAACACGGCTGGTCCTCACCAAACCCCCCGCAACGGGCAGAATGTAGCTCACTTCCTCTGCGGTCCACTACACAGCGAAGGCCCTCCCGCCAAGCCTCACCCGTGAATCAACAATGCCATTTCCCTCCATGGGGCTCAACACCCTTCTGCAGTTGTCCCCCCTTTAGGCTACTGACCCAGCATGCCCACACGCCCAGAGTGGGGTCTGAGCTGCAGTCAGTAGCAGCAGAGGACACGCGGACCCCCAGGAGCCCCGATGACAGAGCACAGCCCAGCAGCCCGGACACTGTTCTTGCAGACACAGGAGGCCTATCCCCCACAACACCCTGCGGTGCCACCGAGGCTAGCCCTGACGCAAGGCTGTGCTGCTGGACTCAGCCACACAAGGGGCACCCAGAAACGAGCCATGGAAAGCAGCAGAACGCATCCATCCAGGGACCCAGCAGCCACATCTCAGCAAAACAGTAGGGTGGCCTCCCTGCAGAGCCCCATTGTCCCTAAGAGTCTGCACTCTGTCTGAGTGCATGGCCGGGCCCCTGGCCTGCCCTGGAGCCTCCTTCCTTCTTGAGCTCCAGGCCTTTCCCGCCCTGGTCTCCACTTCTAGAATCACTGGTATATATGCTGTCTGCACAATCCTGGCCCGAATCTGAGCTGGACACTGAAGCCAGAGTGGCAGATCAACATCTGTCCTCAGTGAGACCCGGACATGGCCCCTTTCAGTGTCCCCATTGGGTGACCGACTCCTACACAGTGACAATGTCCCTGTATCTCAGGCCTGCTCTAAGGTTACAATGACCACCACCTTAGTAACGAGACCTCATGGTTCAACAAGAGGGAAGGAGGGAAGGAGAGAAGCAGGTCCGGGCAGCAACACGCTGCACCTCTAAACCCCAGTGTTCCCCTGTATTCTCAGGGCAAATCAGTGCCCTGAACGGGGATACAATGAGGGAGGAGGGAAAGGAAGTCCCACACTGTGACCATCCATCCCAGCCTCGCAGGCTAAGCACTCCAGGGCTCATGCTAGGGCGTGACCGCAGCTCCTCTGCTGCGCCTCCAGACTCACTCTGCCTCTTTGACAAGGTAACAACGGTGTCACCATCGACTCTCACCAGGAGAGCAATCGTCACTTTCCTTCTCTGAACCAAAAGTTTGTGTGGTGTTTTAAGGGTCGAATTCCTTGCCCATTCAATGACCCTCAGAGACTGGACAAAGCTGCAGAGCCCTGGTCAGGGACCGCCCAGAGTCTCGGCTCCACCTCCCACCCCTGGCTTCAGGGTCGCACTGCCTCAGGTTGCCTCCCTGCCCAGGTGCCGCCTGTCTCGCTTGGCCAGGCACTGAGACCCGCGCTGCCCCCGCCCGCCGGCACCCTGGTGGCTGCCTCACCATGTAGAATTTATCCAGGCGCAGCCTGTCAATGCCCGTCCACTCGCGATTCATGGTCTGCCAGAAGGCCTGAAGGAACAGGTGCTCTGGAGAAGGAATAAGCCAGAAGAGAACCACTGAGGAGCACGAAGCCACTCTGGGGAGGGAGGTGAGAACATGGAGGAACCCGTTCTTTACATAGCTATAGATAAAAAATGCTGATGCCCAGGCCCTACCCCCAGAACTGGATCTTGCTGGACCAGGATCTGGACATGAGGATTTTTAGAGGCTCCTCAAGTGAGTCCTACAGACAGGCAGGGTAAGAACTTCTCAACTCCGGTCACCAGAGAACAGAGGAGTCAGAAAAATCAACTGCAGGAACCTCAGGACCATCAGGCGGAATTCAGTCCAATCTCTTGGTGACATTATCCTGGCTTTTCACTTTATTTTTAAAGTGTAAGATATTAGCCCATTAGGCTCGAAATGAGGGTTTTGGGTAAATGAGCTAATCCATGTTGAATACTTACACCAGCACTGCACACATGCTAAGCACCCACAGACACCAGCTGGCGCTCTCTTGCCCTTAGGCATTCCTTACTCTGGATTTGAGAACACAAACCTCCTGGGTCTGGTGGCTCTGATGCTCAGAGGTTCTGACATCTACAAATGCACCCAACTACAGCAGAGCATACTCACGCGCCTCCGTGGTCTGAAAAGCATGAACGAGCTGGGAAATAGTCCTTCCTAATTCTTCCTGTGTAGGAAACAACAAAAACGCCCTCAGCCCCTGAAGCACCAGGCTCTCACAATGACACACACGCAACCACCCACTCACCCACTCACTCACTCACTCATCACAGAGAGTCGGCTTCCAGGGGGTCTCAGCTCAGTGCACTGGAGGTTTCACCCCTGCTCCAAAAGACCCCTCTACAGCCAGGGTCAACAGGCTCTCACACAACCACGGGAGGCCCCTCTAGACAGCTGGGGTCAACAGCCTCTCACACAACCACAGCAGGCACTGCCCTCTTGACAGAGGCTGTGCCCTAAGCCACAGAGTCACGGTTAAAGAGGGACGTGGGAGAGCGGAAGGGAGCCTTGGGACTCACAGCCCCCTAACCATCAGGAGGAAGAGGGCTGCGAGACCCCATAGATCACTGGCTATCTGCCTACATCACCGTGCCAGCCATCGCCCAGAATACTTGCTAAGGGACATTTCACAGCCTCCCCTTGATAATTCAGTGGGCATGGAATATGGCCCAGGAACCTGAACTTAACTAAGTACCCTCACCACCCAGGAGATTTTGAAGGAGAGCACAAAATTCACAATTTGAGAAACAATGTTTGGAAAAGGCTAGCAGGAGACGTCCTTGTCTCAGGAGACTTGAATTCCGCCCCGTGGTTTCCACTATTTCAGCACTTGTTTGCAACCCAGGACAAACACAAAACCCAGTTTTCACCCATGCCAGTGCTGCTGCAGTGCACGGCTCAGTCAATCACATCAACACCTCAGCAAGTGTAAGACTCACCTAACAAAGGCCCAGGCCCACCAGCCGTGCCGAACCAAGCGTCAAGGCTATACGACCTCCCCACGGTCTCTGGCCATATTAAAACTGGGTTGACCAGGCCGGGCGCGGTGGCTCATGCCTGTAATCCCAGCACTTTGGGAGGCCGAGATGGGAGGATCACTTGAGCTCAGGAGTTCGAGACCAGCCTGACCAACATGATGAAACTCTGTCTCTACTAAAAATACAAAAAATTAGCCAGGCATGGTGGCAGGTACCTGTACTCCCAGCTACTTGGGAGGCTGAGGCAGGAAAATTGCTTGAAACCAGAAGGCTGAGGTTGCAGTAAGCCGAGATTGAGCCACTGCACTCCAGCCTGGGCAACAAGAGCGAAACTCCGACTTAAAAAAAAAAGAAAAACTGGGTTGACCAGATGCCCATCCATCCTCCCCCGCTGCTTCTGTACCTGCTCTGCTGCTCCCCCCACTCACCTGGAGGAGTGGCTTGTCCTGCATCCACATGCAATAAAACAGTCCTTTCCACACCTTCAGCAGCTCGTCGTGCGTAAAACCACCTGCATCAAAACAGCAACGGTTGGACCAAATGAATCCCACACCTTCGAGTGCCAGAAAGGAAGCCACAGAAACGTGACTGCCTGAATGAGACCAAAGTCCCACTTACGGTAAAGGCAACTGGGGGGCAGAATCTGGCCCTCCCCTTCAAACAATCCTTCTAACCCAGAACCTGCCGCGCCTGTGGCTATGCGGCTACTCCAGGTAACTGCTACTTCACGCACACAGTAAAACCGACTGAGATCTACAAGGTATCAGGCACCATACTCCATTTTGGAAATTCAAAATTGCGAACCTTGACGGTTTCCTAAGCTGGACAGTGGCCACAAGGTTAATCTGTTGGTGATAATTCATCCAGCATTATACTGAGGGCTTCTGCACTCTCCTGTAATATATCTCAAATACTAAAAGAAGAAAGTGAACTCAGGCATTCAGACTACGAGAGAAACAGAAATTACTGAGGCCAGGTGCGGTGGCTCACGCCTGTACTCCCAGCACTTTGGAATTGAGTGCTGAGGCAGGATCACTTGAGGCCAGGAGTTCAAGACCAGTCTGGGCAACATAGGAAGACCCCAATTTGTACAAAAAATACAAAACTTAGCTGGCCTGGCCGCACGGTGCCAGTAGTCCCAGCTATTGGGGAGGCTGAGATGGGAGGCTCACTTGAGCCTGGGAGGTAGAGGCTGCAGTGAGCTGTAATCGTGCCAATGCACTCCTCCACCACGGATGACAGTGAGGTCTGTCTCACTCAGAAAAATAACAAAAAATTTTAATTTAAAACATTACTCAGTTGACATTCACTGAAGTCCTATGTGTCTGGCAACCTGTTCCTGCAGCAGTGGTTCTCAGGCTGAGTGTGGGGAGCAGAAGCACTTGAACAGCTTCATAAAGCAGATGCCAGTCCTGATTTAGTAGGGCTGGGATCCTAGAACTTGCATTTCTTTCTTTTCTTTTGCGATGGAAATGGAGTCTTGCTATGTTGCCCAGGCTGGACTCCTGGGCCTTTGTGATCCTCCCACATCGACGTGCCAAGTAGCTGGGATTACAGGCTTGGGCCACTGCGCCCGGCATAGAACGTGTATTTCTAACAAATGTCCAGGGGATGCTACTGCTGATGGGGGACCACGCTCGGAGAACCACCTGGTACCATGAACAAGAAGTAGATTCTCGGCCCTCAGAGAGGTACTCTCGAGTGGAAATCGGAAAACAATCCAATAATTAACGCAAAACAGAAAACTGCAAACAGTGGGAAATGCTGCCATGAGGGAAAAATACTGGGTGCCCAAACAGCAGGGCAGCAGGAGTACATGGTCTACTGGAGGGAGGGGACGCCTGAGCTAGGAAAGGGGTTACGGGGCTGGGGAGGAGCGTTCTCGCAGAGGGACCAGAGTCACCGCACCACGAGGGAAAGCGGCGGCGGGGGCCGTGGGCCGGTAACAGCGGGAACAGGCCAGTGGACCCCGCCTGCCCGGCCCGGCCACGTGGAGGTTCCACAGGGCTCGGAGGGCCCCCAGCTCCGGCCGCCGCCGCCCACACCCGCACCAGCCCAGCCGGCCCCCGAGACGCCAGCCGCCCACACCCCCGCCAACCTGCGGCCCGCTGAGTCCTGGCGACGATGTATTTCCGGAGCTTCCTCACCGCCCGGTCCCGGGTCACCTGCTCATTCCCCGCCAGGCGCTGAGCCAGCTGGATCTCAGGCGGGAGCTGCACGCGCGAAACCATGACGCCGACGGCCGAGACCCCCTGTCCCGGAGTCGCCTGGTACCCAGCACACTGAGCACGCGCCTCCTGCGCCCGCCTCCTCCTGGCCCCGGCGCGTGGCGTGACGTCACAGCCCGCGACACCGCCCAGGCGCACGCCACCGCCGCGCAGTGGCCGAGCCGCGCAACTGCAGCCCCCGGAGGCCGAAGGCTACAGAGGGGGCGCGCGCTCCCTGCCTGTGCGCATGGGCGGAACCAGCGAGCGCGCGCCTGCGCCTGCGCCTGCGCCTCGCTGGGGCTGCGGTGGGTCGGGATTCTGAGGCAAAGATCTGTTGTTTTTTAATCTCATTTTATTTATAACCCCACTTGTATTTTTTTCCTGAGACAGGGTCTCGCTCTGTTACCCACGCTGGAGTGCAAGGCGCGATCTCGGCTCACTGCAGCCTTTGCCTCGCGGGCTCCAGGGATCCCCCAGCCTCAGCCTCCCGAGGAGCTGGGACCACGGGCGCCACCACTCTCGGCTCGAAACTTTATTTTTAAAACCAGGGGTGTGCCGGGCGCGGTGGCTCACGCCTGTAATTCCAGCACTTTGGGAGGCTGAGGCGGGTGGATCACGAGGTCAGGAGTTTGAGACCAGCCTGACCAACATGGTGAAACCCTGTCTCTACTAAAAATACAAAAATTAGCCAGGCGTAGTGGCGGGCGCTTGTAATCCCAGCTACTCAGGAGGCTGAGGCAGGAGAATTGCTTGAATCCGGGAGGCGGAGGTTGCAGTGAGTCGAGATTGCGCCGCTGCACTCCAGCCTGGGCGACAGAGTGAGACTCTGTCTCAAAAAACAACAACAAAAAAAAAAACGGGGAGGCTGCATTTGGCCTAGGGCCACAGTTTGACATACCCTGAAGTAGAAAAATATTCTTTATTTTTAGAAATAACTGCAGAACTCTTTGGTAAAGGTGACCTGTCATGATGTCTGTAATTCATTCTGCAAAAAAGTAAATCATTACACGCACATATGTGTATGCAGATAAGCAACTATGGCACACTGTTAACAGTTGTGGCGTTGGCCGGGCGCGGTGGCTCACGCCTGTAATCCCAGCACTTTGGGAGGCCGAGGCGGGCGGATCATGAGGTCAGGAGATCGAGACCATCCTGGCTAACACGGTGAAACCCCGTCTCTACTAAAAACACAAAAAATTAGCTGAGCGTGGTGGCGGGCGCCTGTAGTCCCAGCTACTCAGGAGGCTGAGGCAGGAGAATGGCGTGAACCCCGGAGGCGGAGCTTGCAGTGAGCCGAGATCGCGCCACTGCACCCCAGCCTGGGTGACAGAGTGAGACTCCGTCTCAAAAAAATACAAGTGTGGCGTCTACAGGCAGGAATACAGGTCTTCATTGACCTATCTTCTGACATTTTCTATGTATGAAATTTTTCATAAAAAGTTGAAAAGGCTGGCAGTGGTGGCTCATGCCTGTAATCCCAACCATCACTTGGGGAGGCCAAAGCAGGTGGATCACCCGAGGTCAGGAGTTCGAGACCATCCTGGCCAACATGGTGAAACCCCATCTCTACTAAAAATACAAAAATTAGCTGGGTGTGGTGGCGAGCACCTGTAATCCCAGCTACTCGGGAGGCTGAGGCAAGAGAATTGCTTGAACACAGGAGGCGGAGGTTGCAGTGAGCCAAGATCCGGCCACTGCACTCCAGCCTGGGCGACAGATTTTGAAACTCTGTCTAAAAAGAAAAAAAAAAGGAAACATTTAGCAACTGGTTTTAGAATCTGAATTAGTTCTTGTTGTTGTTGTTGTTGTTGAGACAGTTTCACTCTGTCGCCCGGGCTGGAGTGCAGTGGCACGATCTTGGCTCACTGCAACCTCCACCTCCAGGATTCAAGCAATTTCTGGCTAATTTTTGTGTTTTTAGTAGAGATGGGGTTTCACCATGTTGGCCAGGCTGATCTCGAACTCCTGACCTCAGGTGATCGGGCTGCCTCGGTCTCCCCAAAGTGCTGGGATTACAGGCGGGAGGCACTGCACCCAGCCAGCCTCTCCTCTTCTTATGAGGACGTCAGTCAGTGTGGACTTAGGCCTGCCTTAATTTAGCATGACCTCATGTTAACTAACCATGTCTGGAAAGACCCGTTTACCAAATTAAGGCCACATTCCGAGGTTCCAGCGGACATGACTTTCCGGGGGACAAGCACGAATGAGAAGAGGCCCTGCACTCACACAGTGGGTATGTCGCACGCACACACTGGGTATGTCACGCACAGTGGGCATGTTGCACGCACACAGTGGGCATGTCAGGCGCACAGTGGGTATGTCGCACGCACACAGTGGGTATGTTGCACGCACGCAATGGGCATGTCAGGTGCACAATGGGCATGTCAGGCGCACAGTGGGTATGTCTCGCACACAGTGGGTATGTCGCATGCACACAGTGTCAGGCACACAGTGGGTATGTTGCACGCACACAGTGGGTGTGTCGCGCACAATGGGCGTGTCAGATGCACAGTGGGTATGTCGCGCACAGTGGGTATGTCAGGTGCACAGTGGGTATGTGGCACGCACACAGTGGGCATGTCAGACGCACAGTGGGCATGTCACGCGCACAGTGGGCATGTCGCACACACACAGTGGGCATGTCAGGCGCACAATGAGCATGTCAGGCGCACAGTGGGTATGTCGCGCACACAGGGTGTGTCATGCGCACAGTGGGTGTGTCGCACGCACAGTGGGTATGTCGCACACACACAATGGGTATTTCACGCGCACAGTGGGTATGTCGCACTCACACAGTGGGTATGTCGCGCGCACAGTGGGTATGTCAGGTGCACAGTGGGTATGTCGCATGCAAACAGTGGGCATGTCGCACGCACACAGCGGGCATGTCAGGTGCACAGTGGGCATGTCGCGCGCACAGTGGGTATGTCGTGCGCACAATGGGTATGTCGCACGCACACAGTGGGTATGTTGCACGCACATAGTGGGCATGTCAGGCGCACAATGGGCATGTCAGGTGTACAGTGGGTATGTCATGCAAACAGTTGGTATGTTGCACACAGTGGGTATGTCGCATGCACACAGTGGGTGGTATCGTGCATGCAATGGGCATGTCAGGCTCACAGTGGGTATGTCAGGTGCACAGTGGGTATGTCTCGCACATAGTGGGTATATCAGGCACATAGCGGGTATGTCACACCCAGCTGCTGAGAACAGGGTGGGAGGGACTAAGCTGTACTAGGAGGGTGAAGTTGTGCACTGGGGAGCACACCTTCACACCAGGCTCGAGATGCCAGGCTTCAGACGGAAAGGACATGGCAGGTGGTCTCTAAAGATATGGAAGACTAAGATTTGGAAATCGAATAAAGTGGCTTTTAAAAAATCTCTTCTCGGGCTGGGCGTGCTGGCTCATGCCTGTAATCCCAGCACTTTGGGAGGCTGAGGTGGGTGGATCACGAGGTCAGGAGATCCAGACCTCATAGGTGAAACCCGTCTCTACTAAAAACACAAAAAATTAGCTGGGTGTGGTGGCGGGCGCCTGTAGTCCCAGCTACTTGGGAGGCTGAGGCAGGAGAATGGCATGAACCTGGGAGGCAGAGCTTGCAGTGAGCCGAGATAGCACCACTGCACTCCAACCTGGGCGACAGAGTGAGACTCCGTCTCAAAAAAAAAAAAATCTCTTCTGCTGGCATGACCTGTTGAAGGCAGAAACAAAAACGCTCTCCAGGGTAACCTCCTCCCCCTTTTTTTTTTGACAGAGTCTTGCTCTGTCACCCAGGCTGGAGTGCAGTAGCGTGATCTCAGCTCACTGCAACCTCCGCCTCCCAGGTTCAAGTGTCTCCTGTGTCAGCCTCTTGAGTAGCTGCAACTACAGGCGCCCACCACCACACCTGGCTAATTTTTGCATATTTAGTAGAGACAGGGTTTCGCCATGTTGCCCGGGCTGGTCTCGAACTCCTGACCTCAAGTGATCAGCCCACCTCAGCCTCCCACAGTGCTGGGATTACAGGCGTGAGCCACCACGCCTGGCCACAGTATAACCCATTTCTGACTGAAAGTCACACTAGGGCTCAGCCTTAAGGAAAACTAAGTTTAAACCTCTTTTTCACTGTATTTTCTCTTTTCCCCCGGGCTAGAGGTGGAGACAAGAAAATATGACCTGGTTTTTAATGAATATTAAAGACCAAAATTTCAAATTTTTAAACGGCCTGAAATGTCCCACTACTTTTATTTTATTTTATTTTATTTATTTTTTTAAGAGACAGAGTTTCACTCTATCTCCCAGGCTGGAATGCAGTGTTGCAATCACAGCTCACTGCAGCCTCGACCTCCAGGGCTCAAGTGATCCTCCCACCCCAGCCTTCTGAATAGCTGGGACCACAGGTGTGCATCACCTCAGCTAGCTAATTTTTTATTTTTTGTAGAGATGGTGTGTTAGTCAGGGTTTTCTAGAAGGACAGAACTAATAGGATATATATATATATATCCTATTTTATATATATATATATATCCTATTTTATATATATATATATATCCTATTTTATATATATATATATATATATATATACACACACACACACACACAAAGGGGAGTTTATTAATTATTAACTCTCACGATCACAAGGTCCCACAGTAGGCTGTTTGCAAGCTGAGGAGCAAGGAGAGCCAGTCTGAGTCCCAAAACTGAAGAACTTGGAGTCCGATGTCCGAGGGCAGGAAGCATCCAGCACGGGAGAAAGATGTAGGCTGGGAGGCTAGGCCAGTCTCGTCTTTTTACATTTTTCTGCCTGCTTTATATTCTAGCCTTGCTGGCAGCTGATTAGATGGTGCCCACCCAGATTAAGGGTGGGTCCGCCTTTCCCAGCCACTGACTCAAATATGAATCTCCTTTGGCAACACCCTCACAGACACACCCAGGATCAGTACTTTGCATCCTTCAGCCCAATCAAGTTGACACTCAGTATGAACCATCACAGATGGGGTCTCATTACCTTGCACAGTCTGATCTTGAACTCCTGGGCTCAAGCGACCCTCCCACTTTGGTCCCCCAAAGTGCTGGGATTACAGGCATGAGCCATCATACCTGGCTGCCACTATTCATTTTCCTGATTGGTGATATGCTCTCGAGAATTATGAGTCAAGGGCTTAGCCTCAGGCTTATCTACTGTGGGTCAAACAATGCATGAACATGTTCAGAGGTGTTTGAACCAGAGCGACTCCATCTTGAATAGGAGCTGGGTAAAATGAGGCTGAGACCTACTGGGCTGCATTCCCAGATGGTTAAGGCCTTCTTAGTCACAGGATGAGATAGGAGGTCAGTACAAACTACAGGCCATAAAGACCTTGCTGATAAAACAGGTTGCAGTAAAGGAGCCGGCTAAAACCCACCAAAACCAAGATGGCCACAAGAGTGGCCTCTGGTCATCCTCACTGCTACACTCCCACCAGCACCATGACAGTTTACAGATACCATGGCAACATCAGGAAGTTACCCTATATGGTCTAAAAAGGGGAGGCATGAATAATCCACCCCTTGTTTAGCATGTCATCAAAAAAAAACCATAAAAATGGGCAACCAGCAGTCCTCAGGGCTGCTCTATGGAATAGTCATTCTCTTATTCCTCTACTTTCTTAATAAACTTGCTTTCACTTTTCTCTGCGGACTTGCGCTGAATTCTTTCTTGTGAGAGATCCAAGAACCCTCTCTTGGGGTCCGGATCGGGACCCCTTTCCTGTAACAGTGTCAAGCAGGCCATGCTCTTAGAAGCTCATCCAGTTTCTGTTGTGGTCCTGCTCAGTCATCCTACAGCAAGACCTGGTCACACACTGATGTGCTGGGTACCACATCCCTATGACATAGCCCACAGCGCACTGCACACCCACCGCTGACTGATCTGTCCGTCCCAGTGCCCGTGCAGGATGAGAGTTTAATGACACTCCTGCCACCATCTTGCCCTTGTGTGTTTCGAATGCTGCTGAAGACCTGGGTTCTGAGCGGTTTTCCTCGTATTGGGTCCCACAGGCAAGTGCCCCGCGGGCCTCCCTCCCAGGCTCACTGGTTGTTTCCCTCATTTTCTTTCTTTTCTCCCCACACTTGCATACTTGCAGTAGGAGCTCTTCAACAGCCAACGCAGACATATGAAAGGGACGTGTGAGTAAGGTGCACAGCCAGATGCAAGGGTGAATGGTTCGTGCACGGTCTCAGGCCTTTGTCCTTGGAAGCCACTAGCTTTTGCGAAATCCTCAAATAGAAATGTGGAGAGTACTGGCATTCACGTTGCCATGTCGCAACCTGAGTAGAAGTCTGCAGGGCTTTGGATCTACCGGCAGCTTTTGGAAGAAGGCAGGGTTTGCAGTGGGAAAGAAAGGCAGCTGAAACACAAGCTCAGCAAACAGGAAGGACCTGAGGTCCACTGGGACATCCTGCAACAGAGGGGTTTGACCGCCTTAGCCCACCACGTCAGCAGTTTTCGCACCAGGCAGAGCTCCCCACAGCATCACCTGCAGGTTCATGAACAGGGTGCCAGGATGGGGCCCACAGTCCCCCTGCAGCGCCTGGTGCCCACAGCCCCCAACACCTATTGCTTGGGCTGAGACCCTCTGATGTCTAGAATTTAATTAACAACAAATTCTCATGATGAAACTCTTGCATAATGGAAACACAAACAACTGATTGGAACCAGGAACAGGTGTATGAGTCACCTGCTTAGGAGTATTAACAGGAAGCCCAAAAAAACCCCCAAGAAACCTGATCAGCATGCTGAGGAAGAAGGCACATGGAAGAAAAATCAAGCAATCAAACACACTAGGGTTCTACTGACCCTGGGGAAATCCAATATTTCAAAAGTGAGATTCTGAAATAGTTTAGATTTCAAACTTTGATTCTTCTGAATACAGATTTCAAATGTAAGTGATGTTCAAAGTCTCTGAGGTGCCCCCAGGTCTTGTCAGTCCTTCCTTCCTTTCTTCCTTGTTGAAGGAAGAAGCTGAGGCAGAATTGATGTAGAGACTGTGCGTGGGCTAAAGTTGAGGACAGCAAGACACACTTCCACATTGCCTTGGTGAGAGCTGCTTTTGACCTTCGTGACAGCAGGGTTTTGTTTGTTTGTTTGTTTGTTTGTTTGTTTTAGACGGAGTTTCACTCCTGTTGCCCAGGCTGGAGTGCAGTGGCACAATCTCGGCTCGCTGCAACCTCAGCATCCCAGGTTCAAGTGATTCTCCTGCCTCAGCCTCCCAGATAGCTGGGATTACAGGTGCCAGACACCAAGCTCAGCTAATTTTTTTGCATTTTTAATAGAGACGGGGTTCCATCATGTTGGCCAGGCTGGTCTCGAACTCCTGACCTAACGTGATCCACCTGCTTTGGCCTCCCAAACTGCTGGGATTGTAGGTGTGAGCCATCACGCCCAGCCGACAAGCAGGTTTTTAAAGACAAAAGGGGGACAAGGAGCAGGCTGATACAAAATTGTCTATCAGGAATTCTCATTGGTTTACAGAAATAATATTGATTAGTGATTGGCTATACATTGTATGGGATTACGGTGTCCTGTGTGCAGCATCCTTAGGTTCACTTACAGCTACTTGTGGTGAGAGGAAGCAGTCTCCAGAGATGGTGACACAGCTCTAGGAGAAACAGCATGTGATTACTGTCTCATTTTAATTTCTCTCTGGGCCTGATAACTTAAAAGGGTTCGCTTTCAGCCGGGCCTGGTGGCTCACTCCTGTAATCCCAGCACTTTGGGAGGCCAAGGCAGGCAGATCCCGAGGTCAGGAGATCGAGACCATTCTGGCCAACATGGTGAAACCCTGTCTCTACTAAAAATACAAAAAAAATTAGCCGGGCATGGTGGCGGGTGCCTGTAGTCTCAGCTACTTGGGAGGCTGAAGCAGAAGAATGGTGTCAACCCAGGAGGAGGAGCTTGCAGTGAGCCAAGATCGCACCACTGCACTCCAGCCTGGTGACAAGAGCGAGACTCCATCTCAAAAAAAAAAAGGGTTCATTTTCCTCAGATAAGAAATATTCATAATTTTTTTCTTTCTCATTCTCTAAGTGGGGAGACAAGGTATTTGGTCTTGTCCCCTTGCCTTCAGTAAATGAAAAACTCTGGCATCAAAGAATGGGAGGTAAAAGTCAGCATGGTTGGGCGTGATGGCTCATGCCTGTAATCCCAGCACTTTGGGAGGCCAAGGTGGGACCGCCCAACAGGTTCTTCCTGCCTGCTGTACAAAGGCCACGGCACTGAAGAAAAGAAAGTTAATTGTCAGGCACGGTGGCTCACACCTATAATCCCAGCACTTTGGGAAGCCAAGGGGGGTGAATCACCTGAGGTCAGGAGTTTTGAGACCAGCCTGGCCAACATGGTGAAACCTCGTCTCTACTAAAAATACAAAAATTAGCCAGGCATGGGGATGCATGCCTATAATCACACTTACTTGGGAGGCTGAGGCAGGAGAATCGCTTGAACCCGGGAGGCAGAGGTTGCAGTGAGCCAAGATTGCACCACTGCACTCCAGCCTGGGCGACAGAGGGAGACTCTGTCTCAAAAAAAAAAAAAGTGAATTGATGTGAGGCTGGCCTGGCCATGCCACAAGGGAGATGGAGTAATTATTCAAATCAACCTCATTGCAGGCCTGTGGGTTAGGGTTTTTCAAAAGTGGTTTGGGGGAAGGGGTTGGTGTGGCTGGGCAATGGGTGCTTGCTGCTGACCGAGTGGGTCGGAGATGACATCATGGGAAGATGTCCTTTTGCACTGAGTTGCTTCTGGGAGGGGCCACAGGAGCCATGGTCAGTGGGTCCAGGTAGAGCCATGGGTGTCAGACATGCCCAAAACCTGCAAAAGTATCTCAAAAGGCCAGTCTACAATAGCGACATTAACTGCAGGACTAACTGGGGAGGTTGCTGTCCTGTGACCTCCAGAATAATGGCTGGCAATTGTTTGTCTACACCTTAGCTGAACCCAGGCTCCTCTCCTTCTCCTAGCCTAGTCTCTCATGAGCTTTGCAAAGGTGGTTGAGTTTTGGGGAAGGGCCAGTATCATCTAAACTGTAAACTAAATGTCTGCCAAAGTTAGCTCAGCCTAAACCCAGGAATAATCAAGGCAGCTTAAAAGCTAAAGGCCAGAGCCGGGTCAGCTGGTTCAGATCTCTCCCACTGCCACCATTTTCTCATGGATACAATTTTTGCAAAGGTGGTTTCAGAGGTGGGAGGATCACTTGGGCCCAGGATTTCAAGATTAGCCTGGGCAACATAGTGAGACTTCCAGCTCTACAAAAAATGAAAAAAATTAGCCAGGCATGGTGGTGCACACCTGTGGCCCCAGCTACTCAGGAGGCTGAGGTGGGAAGATTGCTTGAGCCTGGGAGGTCAGGCTGCAGTGAGCTGTGATCGTGCCACCGAACTCCAGTGTGGGCAACAGAATCAGACCATGTCTCAAAAAAATAAATAAATAAAATAAAAAATTCCAGGGCTTTTGATTGGAAAAGTAATACAAATTCTAGGTTGGCTTTGATTAGCATACCAATAATAACAATACTGACAACTCACCCTGGAGCTCAGACACTGTCCCAAGCTTTTTGTACTTAATTACTAATTCACTTAGTCCTTTAAAAAAAAATTTGAGATTGGTTATTAGCATTATCCCCACAGAGAGAGGCACAGAGAGTTTCAGCAATTAGTCCTTCACCACACAGCAGGTGCGAAGAAGGGCTGGGTCCACACTCAGGCAGCTGGGCTCCAGCACCTGCCCTCCAAGATGGTTTGAAAACATCTGCTTGCACCCACACCTGCAGCACGAAGGCAGCTTTGACATTGCGAGACAATGAACACACAAACAGAAAACAGCCAGACCAAATATGGGAAGAGAACTCTGAGCCACAGCGACTGTCCAGAGGCCAAACCTCAACTTTCACGGCTAGCCAGAAGCTTTCTGCCCAGGTTCTGTACATTTATTATATATTATATATTATATTTATTATATATTTATTATAACTAAGCATTCAGCAGAAATAGAGTTACAGGCCGGGTGTGGTGGCTCATGCCTGTAATCCCAACACTTTGGGAGGCCGAGGCAGGTGGATCACCTGAGGTCAGGAGTTCAAGACCAGCCTGGCTAACATGGTGAAACCCCGTCTCTATACAAAAATTAGCTGGGCTTGGTGGCACGCACCTGTAATCCCAGCTAATCGGGAGGCTGAGGCAGGAGAATCGCTTGAACCCGGGAGGCAGTGGTTGCAGCAGTGAGCCAAGATCATGGCACTGCACTCCATCCAGTCTGGATGACAGAGCGAGACTCTGAAGAAAGAAAGAGAGAAAGAGACAGAGAGAGAGAAAAAGAGAGAGAGAGAGGGAGGGAGGGAGGGGGGAGGGAGGAAGAGAAGGATAACTCAGCATTTGTCAGGCTACACTTTAACCCACTTCCTTCTAACTGAAAGTCACGTAGCGCTAGTGACTATCTGCACCCCTACTGTTCCTATGGACGGAATCTCTGACTTCAGAATCATGAGGCTTTTGTTTAAGAATTCCTTAAGACGTTTCAGATCCTTAATTCCAGGCCAACCAGTTTGAAGAGCCCCACAGAGGAAGTGAACCAGCATGAGAATACAGCATCTTCAACCCCACCCCATGACTCCACCCTGCTTCACCCTGCACTTCTCCACCGGTCAGCAGCCCCCGCCCTCAGCCCACTCCAAACCCCTGAAAGTTCCCAGCCCCAAACTCCTCAGGGAGATGGATTTGAGGTCTCCTCCCAGTTACAACCTTGCGGTTCAAACTGTCTGCTGCAAACCCTGGGTGGCAGTGTGCTGACTTCCTGCACCCTAGGCAACGGACCTGTCACGGTCACACTCCTAGTGAGCCCCTCTTCCGTCTCCCCAGGCCACAGCCTCCCTCAGGTGCACCTGAGCCTCCCCTTCCCATTCCAGGCTTTTCCCCGGCTCTGCCCCCGCCTGCTGAGGAATCTCGGTCAACACAAGAGAGGACGGCGACTCCCTTGTACAGCAAGTCCTGAATAAATCGTCTTTTGTTCTCATTTGCGTGGGCTTTATTTCCACAGCTGTTATCCTCCTATTTGTAAAACGGAGGCACCTGGGACCAGCTCCAGCAAGGAGAGTGAGGATCCGACTCCAGGAAGCACCTCAGGAACAAAGGCCTCAAGGCCAACACCTTCCACGGCACAAGCCCAACAGAGCTGCAGGAACCGTACAAGCAGCGGGAACATCCCTTTCTCTTCTTGACTATGTTTTCCCCTGATGCTTTGCTTTCCACATAGAAGAGTTTTCCATTTTCGTGGGGTCAACTCTGCCTTCACTCATTCAACAATGATGGGGGGCTCTGCCCCGCTCCCCCCAGGCTTCAACCACACCTGACTGCCCACCCCTTTGGGCCCTTCCCTGAAGTGACAGACCAGGCTGTGCCCTGGCAGGTAAGAGAAAGGACCCCACAACCCATTCATGGGCCGCTCCAGCTGGGGCCTTGCATGCAGGAGCGGACCAGTCCCCCTGAGGGACAGCCCTTGGGTGGGGGCTCTGGGTCATTTTGAGGAGTCAATCACACCAACAGGTGCCTAGCACAGGCCCCACCCCCACCCCAAATAAGGCAAGCGACCCTTCCCTTCCGCAGGTGGTCCAGTCTAACAGAAACCCTAAACCAAAGGGACTGTGTGGTGGCTCAAGCCTGTCATCCCAGCACTTTGGGGGATGGATCGATTTTAGCCTAGGAGTTCAAGACCAGCCTGGGCAATATAGTGAGACTCCATCTCTACAAAAACACTTTTTAAAAAAATTAGGGGTGCAGTGGTTTATGCCAATAATCCCAGCACTTTGGGAGGCCGAGGTGGACAGATCGCTCAGAAGTTCCAGACCAGCCTGGGTAACATGGTGAAACTCTCTGTCTCTATATATGTGTGTGGTAGGGTGGGCCTGTGGTCCCAGCTACTATAGCAGCTGAGGTGGGAAGATCGCTTGAGCCCAGGAGGTCCAGGCTGCAATGAGTTGTGATCAGGCCACTGCACCCCAGCCTGGCCAACAGAGCAAGACTCTGTCAAAAAAAAAAAAAAGAAAGAAAGAAAAGAGGTCAGGTACGGTGGCTCACGCCTGTAATTCCAGCACTTTGGGAGCCCGAGGCAGGTGGATCACGAGGTCAGGAGTTCGAGACCAGCCTGGCCAATATGGTGAAACCCCGTCTCTACTAAAAACACAAAAATTAGCTGCGCATGAAGGCGCGCGCCTGTAGTCCCAGCTACTCGGGAGGCCGAGGCAGGAGAATGGTGTGAACCCCGGAGGCGGAGCTTGCAGTGAGCCGAGATTGCGCCACTGCACTCCAGCCTAGGCGACAGATCCAGACTCCGTCTCAAAAAAAAAAAAAAAAAGGCCGGGCGCAGTGGCTCACACCTGTAATCCCAGCACTTTGGGAGGCCAAGGCGGGTGGATCACAAGGTCAGGAGATCGAGACCATCCTGGCTAACACAGTGAAACCCCGTCTCTACTAAAAATACAAAAATTAGCCAGGTGTGGTGGCGGGCGCCTGTAGTCCCAGCTACTCGGGAGGCTGAGGCAGGAGAATGGCGTGAACCCGGGAGGCGGAGCCTGCAGTAAGCCGAGATCGCGCCACTGCACTCCAGCCTGGGAGACAGAGCGAGACTCCGTCTCAAAAAAAAAAAAAAAAAAAAAAAAAGAAAAGAAAAGGAAAGAAAGAAAAGAAATCCTAAAACGCAAATTCCACCAGAGAACCCTGCCTTCTTCTCATCCCTCTGATCTACCCCCTGCCCCCACCCAGCCTGGAGCGCGTGGGCGCCGTCTCCCCCTCCCTGGGCCCCTCTGTCCACCCCCTTCAGCCTTCAGTGTTCTCGGTCACAAGCGGTGATGTCCACTGCAGCCCGCACACCTGCTCCCGCGGGGCCGGGACCCCTGACCCCTGACCCCTGCAGCGCTGCGCCCCGCCCTCCCTCGTGCGCGGCCCGGACCCCGCCACCCTGCAGGATTGCGCCTACTCCGACTGCCCCTTCCCTATCGTCCCACCCTGCGCGCCCAACCCACCGGCGACACCCGGCCGCGCCCCCGCCCCGGTCCGTGTGACTCGGCGCCCGGAAAGACGATACCAGCCCCGGGAGGGGGGCGCTCCCTCCCGACACCAGCGCTGGGCGCGGAGACCCAGCCTGCGGCGAGTGGTGGCCAGGTTCCCCGCCCCGCGCCCCGCCCCGCGCCCCGCCCCGCGCGTCCCTTCTTGCGGGGCCACCGCGACCCCGCAGGGGACTCCGAAGCCAAAGTGCCTCCTCCCCGCCCCTTGGTTCCGCCCGCGCGTCACGTGACCCCAGCGCCTACTTGGGCTGAGGAGCCGCCGCGTCCCCTCGCCGAGTCCCCTCGCCAGATTCCCTCCGTCGCCGCCAAGATGATGTGCGGGGCGCCCTCCGCCACGCAGCCGGCCACCGCCGAGACCCAGCACATCGCCGACCAGGTGGGTGGGCCGCGGGGACGGGGCCGGCCCGGAGTCCTGCCTTAGCCTCAGGGCGCGGCCGCGGCTCCTGGAGCGAAAGAAGCCGCTTTGGCCCCGCTGCGCACCCCTGGGCTGGCCCGGGCTGTGGCCGTGAGAGGCCTCCCTCCGCTCGGGCGCTGCGCGCGAGTGAGCAGCGGGGGGCCGCGCCTGGGGCGCCGCTGGGGAGACATTGGGCTCCGCTGAATACAGCAAGGGCGAGTGGG